>NC_000023.11:80947390-81250420 GCF_000001405.40 Homo sapiens
ACTATGTACTTAAGTATATTTTTGTAGTGGCTAGAAACAGCCTTTTTTTTCCATATTTAGCACTTCCTTCAGGACCTCTTGTAAAGCATATCTGGTGGTAACAAATTCCCTTAACATTTGTTTGTCTAAAAATGATTTTGTTTCTCCTTCACTTATAAATCTTAGTTTGGTGGAAATAAGATTCTTGGTTGAAAGTTGTTTTCTTTAAGAATGTAGAATATAGGATTCTAATCTCTTCTGGCTTATAGTGTTTCTGCTGAAAGGTCTGCTGTTAGCCTGAGAAGTTTCCTTTGTAGTAGGCCTTCTCCTTCTTTCTAGCTGCCTTTAACATTTTTTCTTTCATTTTGGCCTTAGAGAATCTGTTTACTATGTGTCTTGGGGATGGTCTTCTTGTGTAGTATTTCACAGGAATCTCTGCATTTCCTGAATTTAAGTGTTGGCCTCTCTAATGAGGTTGGGGAAGTTTTCATGAATGATATCCTGAAATATGTTTTTCAAGTTGCTTTCTTTCTCTCCCCCTCTTTCAGGGACACCAATGAGTCATAGAGTTGGTTGTGTTACACAATCTCATGTTTCTCAGAGGTTTTATACATTCTTCTTTATTTTTTCTTTATTTTTGTCTAAGTTATTTTAGAAAGCCAGTCTTTGAACTCTGACATTCTTTCCTCACATTTGCTGATTCTGCTATTAATACTTGTGATTGTATTCTGAAATTCCTGAAGTGAGTTTTTAAGCTCTATGGGATCAGTTTGGTTCTTTCTTAAAACAACCATTTTGTCTTTTATCTCCTATATTATTTTACTGTATTCCTTAGAATCATTGGTTTGGGTTTTGACTTTATCCTGAATCTTGATAATCTTTGCTTCTATTTATATTCTTACTACTATTTGTGTCATTTCAGCCTGGTTAAGAACCATTGTTGGGTTACTAGTGCGGTTGTTTGGATTTCAGAAGACACTCTGGCTTCTTGAGTTGCCAGTGTTCTCACACTAGTACTTTCTCATTTTCGTGGGCTAATGTTCCTTCAGTCTTTGAAGTTGCTGTCTTTTTTTTTTTTAATTTTGTTTGGTGTCCTTGGACGTTTGATTGTGGTATAAGATGTGTTTAGTCAACTGGCTTCAGTTATGCAAGATTTTAGGGAACCAAGGCTCAGCTCAAAACTCCTGGGCTGTGTGCTCTAACTCTGGAGGCCTGGTATTGGGACCCCAGCTTTGTTCTCTGGCTCTTCAGGTTAGTGGCCTGCTGCACTGGTGGGGCCAAAGTGTTCCGGGACTGCTGGTTACAATGCTCCAATTGGTGCATTGGAGCCAAAATGCTTCACTGGGCAGTGCCAGTGGGATCTGTGCTCATATGCATGTGTTAGCAACAGCAATGTGGTAGGGTGCATGCTTGTCAACTGTGCTGGTGGGCATGGTGGTGCTGGCCTCCATGTGGGCATTCACAGTGATGGCAGTGGTGGTTCAGCACATGGTGGGGTGGGGCCCTAGCATAGTGCATGTGTTCACCCTGGTGATGGTGTCAGCTTGGTGTAGGGAACCGGTGGGTTCAGGGCTGGTGCTCTCCATGCACTCATTCATTCTGCTGGCAGTGGTGGTACAGGGTGGGGTAAAGGGCCCCTGGGTTCTGTGTGCAGATTCATACTAGTAGCAGTGTCAGTGTGGGAGTGAGGCACTGATGGCCATGGCACTGGAGCTCTCCAGCAGTCAGGCACACTCTGCCTGAGCTATAATATAGGCCCTCAGGAGCTATAATATAATATAGGAGCTATAATATAATATAATATAATATAATAAACAGGAGCTATAATATAGGCCCTCAGGAGGCACCCAGGCTCAGTATCTGAGGCTGCACTGCAAGCAACCATGTACAGGCTGGGGCCCTAGGAGAGGCCAGCAGACAGGGTTGTGCACAGGTTGGACCTGCCTCATCTCATATACCAGATTTTCCTGCTTTGTTCAAGTCCAGCAGTTCCCCTGAGGCTAAAGTCTCTGAGGGAAACAAGACTAGCTTTGGGGGATGGGCGTCCCTAGCCGTGCTCCACTACAGATGCTCCCACACCAAGACCCCTGGGTTTTACATCAGCTGGAGTTCTGTCCCTACCACCCCCTTAAGCAAATCTTCCTGCCAGCTCTAGTGTCTGTGGGGGTTGTGGGATCTCCGGCTGTCAAGATTCTAGATATCCATGGGGAAAATCTGTCATTTCTTGCCCACTCAACTCACCCCTTCCCCAGGAGTCACTGAGGGCCAGGAATGAGTCCTGATGTGTTCTAGCCCCATGCAGGGTTTCTAACTTCTTCCTCCTTTAGAACAACACCTGTGTCTTTCTTTCATCCACTCTTAATGCCTTCCCTCCAAAGGTCTGCTTAGGGTGTGCCAGTCTTCCTGTTGTTCTTCCAGATGTTTCTCCTGGTTGTATCTAGTCGGCCATCTTGTCTGTCTTTTCTAGCCTTCTGAAATGTGTTTAATTAATTTATTTTTAATTTTTATTGATGTTGGTGTTCTTATATAGGTATTTAATATTATAAAATTTTAAAATATATTTTAAATATGAAATATCTTAAATATGAAATATAAAATTTCATCTGATATCTGGTTAGCCACATAACATAGGGTTTGATATTTCATGTTTTCTTTATTATTAAATTTATTACATTATGTCATTTTACTTTCTATTTCCCACTTGACTAAAAGGTTGTTTAGTACTATGTTTTGTCTTAGTTTTCTAGGTAGAAAAACCATTTTTTGGTAGTGGGATGACTGTTAATTTCTTGTTTTATTGCATTATAGTCAAAGAATGCAGTTTGTATAATATTTATTCTTAGAAATTTATTGAGATCTTCTTTGGGGCTAAAATATGGGTAGTTTTGTGAATGATTTATGGTCATTTAAAAAGAAAGTACAGTTTCTATGAGTGTGGTTTATGAGTTGAAGTTATATTGCATATATTTTATTGATTATCCTGTTTAGTTGTTCTGCATTGTTACTATATTTTCCACTTGATTTGTACTGAACAGAATGAGGTGTGTCAAAGTCCTCTATTATTAATTCTTATTTCTATTACTTCTTGTATCCTTTATAGTTTCTGTTTTATTAAATTGTTGCTCCTATTGTGTATACAAATAATAATAGTAGTAATAATAAAGATAATTATCATAACATTGTGAATTTTAGTTACATTTCAAAGCATCCTTGTTCTTTTTGAGGCTTTTTGTTCTGAATTAGGTGTCAAAATTGTGAGTCTTGCTTTGTTGTTATTTTATTTCTATTTACCTGATATTACTCCATATGTCCTTATTTGTTGTTTTCTGCCTTTCCCTCTCTATCCTTTCCTTGTGGTGTTCCAATTTTGTGTATATAGACTGGAATAATCCTACAGCTCACTGACACTCTATTCAGTTTTAAAAGTTTTTTCTCTATGTTTTATTTTTATAGTTTCTATAGCTGTGTAATTAAGGTTTTACTGGGTTTTCCCTCCCTGCACTTCAGCTTGGAAACACTGAAGGCTGTATGCTGTATTTGTCAAAACTCCTAGAACTCTACACCATAAACAAACAACTTTTTTGTATATAAATTGTAGCGGAAATTATAGGGCTCATCTTATTTGTTTTCCTTCTCTGAGTGATCACGGTCTTTTGTTGCCTGATGCCTCAAATCGTGGAAACTATTGTTTAATACACTTTGATTATTGATTTAGTTGTTTCATGTAGGAGAGTAAATCTCCTTTCTGTTACTTCATCTTGGCCCAAAATGGAAATTCTCTATGTACATTTCAAAATCAGCTTGATGGTATCTGCAAAACCTTGCTGGAATTTTGATCAATTGCATTGAATCTAAAGATCAATTTGGGAAAATTGACATCTTACCACCAGTATTGAGTCTCCCAATATAAACTTGGTAAAGCTGTCCTTTCATTTATATCTTCTTAGATTTCTTTCAAGTCTTTTGTAGTTTTCAATATATATATATTATACAACAAGCATGTGTGTGTGTGTATATATATGTTTGTGTATGTGTGTGTATATATATGTTTGTGTATGTATATATATATATTTGTGTATGTGTACATATATATATATATATATATATATATATATATATATGCACACATACACATTCTTCACACACGTTTAAAAGGTTTACTCCCAAGTAGTTCATTTTTGGATAATTCTCTATTGCACTGTACTTAATGAAAGAAACTGGATTTAAAAGGCTAAATTCTGTATGATCCTTTTTATTTGATATTTTGGAAAGGCAAACTATAGTGATGGAGAACAGATCTGACAAGGGCTAAGGGTGGGTGGAGAATTTTACCATAAAAAGTAACACAGGGAAATGTTTTGGTACGTTACTTAACTGTTCAGTACCTTGGCTGTGGTGGTGCTTCCATGATTCTCTGCATTTGTCACAACTCATAGAAAAATTCACCAAAAAGAAAAAAAAGTTTATATGTCAATAAAAAAAAAACTCTCTGGTGAACATTTGTTTCAGCAGGCCATCAATACAGTTAGGTTCATACTGTAAGTTCTGTCGTCACACTTTTTGGATAGTGGTATCAATGTTCAGTTTAGTAATAAAAGCTTTTGCTTATGCCAATTTGGGTTTCTATCACATTTGCGCAGCTTTAAAATAACCCCAGGCCTTTTGCAGGTTTATAAACAGTATTAGAAGATCCTCGCTTCAGCTCTCTCCCCTCCCACTCTCTTCAGCCTGAAGAATTTTCTTTTCCTTGTTCTCTGGTCAGAAAGACATTATTTCTCTCAGAGTTTTAGCTTCCTGAGATGCTCCTTGGCTGTTCTGCAAATGGGGCAACCCATATGAGTTAAAGTTACAAGATAAAAGCAAAAAAAAAAAAAAATGGAACGACTCCCTATATATGGATTATTTATTCACTTTGACACTTCCCAGTTTGCTTGCTTTTGTTTACTTTACAGGGTCTTCATATAGTTTCTTTTTGTTGTTGCTTCAAATTTTTCACTTATATTCAGCAGGAGAAACAGGATGTATTGGGCTTATGTTTAAAAATTCTTCTTTGTGACTCCTTTCATGTGAATGTAGGATTTTATTTGCCATCTCCTATATATGTCACTTTCTCTTAAATATTTCTTGTCCCTTTTTTATTCAGAAGTTGTTTACTTAGCTTCTGACTTTTTCCTTAAAAACTGGAATTCTTTAATGAGAACACATGGACACAGGGAAGGGAACTTCACACACCAGGGCTTGTCAGGAGGTGGGGGGCTAGGGGAGGGATAGCATTAGGAGAAATACCTAATGTAGATAATGGATTGAAGGGTGCAGCAAACCACCATGGCCCGTGTATACCTATTTAACAAACCTACATGTTCTGCACATGTACCCCAGAACTTAAAGTATAATAAAAAAATGGAAAAAAAGAAAATAAACTGGAGTTCTTCTAATGCTTATAGATTTAACATTTTATTTTTTTATAGTATTAAGAACCTCTGAATTTTCAAAGCCTGTAGTTATTTGAAACAGTACGCAGAAAATTACATGGGTTATAAAGCACTAACTTTTATATAAGGCAAGAATGTAGTAAGAATTATGTTATTTGATATAAGAATCAGTGATGTATTTATTAAGATTTTCCTAAAGTTAAACTGTGTATCTAAGCCACGTAAGTGCTTAGTAAGTTATGATGGCACTGACATAAATATTTAAGATTATTTTTACTCTGAAAACACAGTGACTTCTAATTTTCATTGACAACTTAAAAATTAGTAAAGTAAAAATCTTCCTCCTTTTTACCTTCTATTTCTCAATATCACTTATGCGTTTCTTCTAATTTTGAATTGATTTTTGAAATACTTTTGATCAATTTCTAATTCTTTTCTGAGTTTTATTGTCTCATTTTTCTGAGATGTCTTATTTGTATTTTATATTTTCTATAATTTTCTTAATGTATTTTAGCTTATCTTGAAATGTTAGATTATAATTTTAATCTGTTTTGTGGGATTGCCTTTCTGATATACTTTTTTCTGTCAGTTCTTATTCTGTTTTTCATATTCACTCTTTATTTCTCTGTAGCAATCTTGTATGAGATTCAGCCACAATACTTTTCTGTTGCTTGTTTTAACATGCCATTACTTTTTTGAGCTTTAGATAGGAAGGGTGGGTAGCAAGAGCTTTTCTAGCTTCATAGCTGTAGAGTTCCTTCTGTTGTTTTCACAAAATTATTTTCAAAAATGGCCCTTTCTTTGAAAACTTCTGCTTCTTTACTCTAACCTCAGTTTAGTTTAGATTTTCTCTCTTTCGCTCAGTTTGGAGATTCTTCTGTCTTTGGAATATCTCCTGATCAATTTTGGGGATTTTACTCAATGTGGGCCTTGTCCTGGGAGTTTCAGATGATTACTTTCAAGAATTGTTAGGGTGCAGACTGCTTCAACTCCTTTAACCTTTTTACAGATCACTTAACTCACCTGAAAATTGGAAGCATTCCCATTCTCAGCTGCTTTCTCAAATTAGTTTACTAAAATTTCCAGTGAGTAACTGTTTGCTGCTTTGGGGCTTTCTAGTTCCCATATGTGTTAGCTGCTGTGTCACTTCCTGCTATGGTTTGGACATTTGACCCTCCAAACCTCATGTGGAGATTTGATTCCCAATATTGGAGGTAGGACCTAGTGGGAGGTGTTTGGGTCATGGAGACAAATCCCTCATAAATAGATTAAAGGACCTCAGTGTTGAAGGGAAACTAGATGAGTGAGTTTTTGCTCTATTAGTTTCTCTGAGAGCTGGTTGTTAAAAAGTGCCTGGCATCCTCCCTCCCTTCTCTTGCTCTCACTTGCCACCACGAGATCTCTACACACTTGCTCCCCTTTGCCTTCCACCAAGAGTGGAAGCAGCCTGAGGCCATCACCAGATACCAATACCATATTTCTTGTACAATCTGCAAAACCATGAGCCAAATAAACTTATTTTCTTTATAAATTACTCAGTTTTAGGTATTCCTTTATATCAACACAAACCGACTATTAGTTCCTAGGAGAGCTGATTTTTAAAAAGAACCTGGTCACTCCCTCCCTTCTCTCTCACTTCTGTTAAAAGAAAACTTCAGACAAGTTAAAATTAATGGAGTTTAACTGAGTGAAGAAAAGAAACGATTCACAAATCAGGCAGCCTCCATAATCACAGCAGATTCAGAGAGATTCCAGGGTGCCTCGTGGTCAGAACAAATTTACAGACAAAAAAGTAAAGTGATGTACAGAAACAGTGAGATTGGTTACAGCTCGGTGTTTGCCTTACCTGAACGCAGTTTAAACACTCAACAGTCTATGAGTGATTGAAGTATGGCCACTGGGATTGGCCAACACTCAGCTATTATAACAGATCCATACTATTAAGTTAGATTTTCAATTCTGTCTGTTTATTAAGCTGGGTTATGGTTCATCCACAAGCACTCAAATATAGAAGTATGGAGTCCTTCTCAGGCCATATTTAGTTCCCTTTAACAATTCCCCACTTTTGGTCAATTTATAGAGATTGACCAAAACTTTAGGCATTGACGCCACTCTCTGCCACCATCATAAAAACTCATTGGGTCTCAGTGTGGAATTCATTAGTCTTCTTTAGTTTCAGTTTGGAGTCTCACAAGTCTTCTTTGGTGTTAATATGAAATTTACAAGTCGCAGCTTTGTACCAGCTAAATGATTCTTTATCTTCTTGCTGATCTAGTTGGAGTGAGACCATCCAACTCTCAATGGATGGCTGTATACAAAACATTTAAGACTTAAGAGGATACTGCATGACGGGGGACTATCATTATGACTATCAAGAGGATACTATCAAAATGCCAAGGAGTACTCCTTAATAAGAATTCTTATGAAACAAACCAAACCAAATTAGCCAAGTTAAGGTTCAGACAATATAGGTAGTTTAACAGTATTAGGGTCTAATTTGTCAGAGTCTTAGTTTGCAGTATGATAGTGGTTAAGGACCATAGTTCGCTTGACTTAAAGAGGTACTCATTTTCATTGTTACCCTGGTAATACAAGTCATAATAACTTGGAAACCTACTAGAAAATATATAAAGATCAGAAACCCTTGGAAAACACAAGCTTGCCATCCGCCACCTAGGATGCCTGCAAACCAACTGTTAGTTGCTCCTATAAACACATCATGGGTTCCTTTCTCTTGAGAGATTTTTTTAATGTATTTGGTGGCAGTGTCTAAGGAAACAGCAGTATCAGCCACCATTTTAATTAGCCTTTCTGTAGTAACAAAATCAGGGGAGAGATAAGTACATTCATTTTTGTTTAAGACCAAACATAGGCCTCCAGCTTGAGCAAAAAAAAAAGATCTAAAGCTGCATGATGTTTCATTAAGTGTTTTTGTTGAATATGTATGTTGTCATCTACCTTTCTGAGAGTAACTTCTACATGTCTGAAACCCTGGGAGGTTTAATTGATTACAAAATCCAAGAATTTTCCCAATTTACAAATTAGCTTTAAATTCTACACAACTGGTACCCCACTACCACCAAGAGTGAGCCCCAGGAACCCCACTGGAATCTTTCCTCAGTAGAAACTAGCTTATCCTCATCTATTTCAAGGCTAGTGCTAATTTCAGTTATTGATTGTTTTGGCCTCCGATTATAAGGGCTACCATGAGAATTTTCAGGGGAAACTATTCAAAAGGCAGGAGCAACCCAGGCCAAATAACATGAACCAAACCAACGAGGGGGCAGAATAGAATATGCAGATTCTCCAGAGTCCCAATATGGACCCTCAGGGGTTGGAAAATAGGGTCACCTAGTTGCATTTGAGCAGGAATCTTTCAGGTATGTTTGACCATAAATCCACATAGTTCCTGAACAATGTTCAGTGGGAAATTTACTTTCTGCTGCCCCTTTATAGCAGGTTCTAAGAGTATATAACCACATCTAGTAAAAAGAGACCTAACTGGATTTAATCCAGTTACATTATACAAGCAATCACTTGTACCAACATAAACAATTCCCTAATCTTGAGTGCATGATGCCTGGAAGCACAATATATCTTTTGCAGACATTACTTGGATTGTTTTTTTATATTTGGTAATGATCGAGTTATCAATTGAAAAAGTTAAAGTGTTGTTTTTAGTGAGTGTAGGAAAGCAAGTAGCAGAGATGTTTAGAATACCAAGAATAAATTTCCATTCTTCCCTTGGAGTTTCAGGGTGATTCTCATTGGGAACGCAGAAGGGCATTGGCACCAGGGGAATCATTTCCTGATTTTTTGGCATTAGCCCACAAACCCAACAATTACTCTGGTTTTGTGCTAGAGCATAAGCTTGAGCTAGAGCCATCCACTGATTATGGTCCCATGGATTTTCCTATAGGGAAAAGGAAAGGATTAGGGCAAAAAATGAAGAAAACAGAAAAACACATAAGGCTTTCATGATGGTAGAGAAGTGTTGATCTGTGATCTTGATCTTGGGAAAGCTGTCTACAACTAGGATGCCGTCTGCTTCTTGGGAGAGATTTTCCTGGTCAGCTTTACCTTAAAGTCTTCAACAGATGTACAGTTCCAGGAGTCTGAAGGGGCCCTTTTGAGTTGTGAGATGTGGACTCAAGGCTCAAGGCCCTGAAGCTTCACTGCAGTGTGTGTGGTGAGAAGAACTTGATATGGTCCCTTCCAACCAGGATCAAGAGCAGTCTTCCTCTGATATCATTTCCAGAAGACCCAGTCTCCTGGTTCCAGACCACGGAGGGTTTGATTGTGCTCAGCTGGTGGATCTCAAAAAGCTTCCTTTACTGGGTGGAAGTATACTTTGACATAATATATTAAAGCCTTGCAGTATTTAGTCATATCAGAGTTTAAGAGAGCAGAAGAAGCATGAGGTGCTATTATTGGGGACATAGGCCTTCCAGTGACTATTTCATAAGGGGTCAATTTATGTTTTCTAATGGGAGTGGATATTATTGCAACTAAAGCCGAGTGTAACACCTTTGGCCAAGGCAACCCAATTGATTCAGTTAACTTTGCCAATTTCAGTTTTAATATGCCACTGTGTCAGTAACATCTTATTTAACTGCTTTAAAACTAGCCCAGTAAAATGAGTTCCTCTATCACTGGAGATTTTTAGAAGGATTCCCCATAAAGGAAAAATATTTTCAAAATTATTACTTTCATAGCTGCAATCACAGCATCAGCTTTCCTACATGGGAAGGCCTCTATCCAACCAGAAAACATGCAAGCTATTACAAGAACATACAATACCCCATTGAGGGTGGCAACTGAATGAAGTCCATCTGTAAATGCTGAAATGGTCCATCAAGTGGTGGAAATATACAACCAAAGTTTTGATTGTTTTTCCAGGATTATGAGTTTGACAAGTCAAACATAGAGTATAAACCATTTTGGCAATTTTGGAACAGTCACTCTACCAGTATTTTTTCATAATTTGTATCATTTTGTCTGTTCCATGATGAGTTGTGGAGTGCAGAGCTTTCAATGATGGAAGCTTCAAAGACTCAGGAAGGACCAGGCAGCTGTCCAGGCCTTCTGTGAGTCTTCACTTCACATTAAATTTACATTCTTTTAGATACCAACTTTGTTTTTCAAAATCATGTGCATCGCACGGTTTGGAACTTGGCTTGGGTTAATCTTATGGAATTTATTCAGATTGCATATTTTGACAGTTTCAGCACTAGCTGATTTAGCATAAAAATATGGTAAAGCATTTCCCTGATATTCAGGTTCAGTTCTACACGTATGAGCTTCAGTCTTAATAACAGCAATCTGCAATGGTAACAGGATAGCAGAAAGGAGCTTATCTACTTGGAGTCCATTTTTGGTGGGGGTCCCACTAGTGGTAAGAAAGCCTCATAGTTTCCATATCATGCAAAAATAATATACTACTCCGAAAGCGTATCTACTATCTGTACAAATATTTACTGACTTGTCCTTAGCTATATGACATGCTCAGGTAAGGGCAAAAAGCTCTGCAGGATGTGCTGACCTAAATTGAGGAAGAGTTTTCTTTTCTATTAACTCATTTTGCATGGTAACAGCATATCCAGCCTGATATTTTCCTTCTGAGTTTTTGGCATAAGATCCATCAACCAAAAGTATTAATTCAGGATCATCCAGTGGAGTATCTTGCAAATCAACACGAAGGGCCACGATTTTTGACATTACACTTACACAATTATGGTCTTCACCATCGTCAGGCAGAGGTAACAGAGTAGCAGGATTAAGTAGATAACGGTGTTTTAGATGAAGATTAGAAGATAGGAGAAGTAATTCATAAGATATTAGTCTACTCACTGAAAAATGCTGGGTTCAGGTGGAATTTAATAGACTTTCCCCAGCGTGTGGAACTTGCAAATTAAGTTCATTTTCTAAAACCAGATCTCATGAAGTTTCTACCAGGTTTGCCACTGCTGCTACTGCTTTTAAACAATTGGGATATGCCTTAGTGACTGGGCCTAATTGCAGGCTACAGTATGCAATAGGTTTATGTATACCACCATGTTCTTTTTTTTTTTTATTCTTATTATACTTTAAGTTTTAGGGTACATGTGCAAAATGTGCAGGTTAGTTACATATGTATACATGTGCCATGCTGGTGTGCTGCACCCATTAACTCGTCATCTAGCATTAGGTATATCTCCTAAAGCTATCCTTCCCCCCTCCCCCCACCCCAAAACAGTCCCCAGAGTGTGATGTTCCCCTTCCTGTGTCCATGTGTTCTCATAGTTCAATTCCCACCTATGAGTGAGAATATGTGGTGTTTGGTTTTTTGTTATTGCGATAGTTTACTGAGAATGATGATTTCCAATTTCATCCATGTCCCTACAAAGGACATGAACTCATCATTTTTTATGGCTGCATAGTATTCTATGGTGTATATGTGCCATATTTTCTTAATCCAGTCTATCATTGTTGGACATTTGGGTTGGTTCCAAGTCTTTGCTATTGTGAATAGTGCCACAATAAACATACGTGTGCATGTGTCTTTACAGCAGCATGATTTATAGTCCTTTGGGTATATACCCAGTAATGGGATGGCTGGGTCCAATGGTATTTCTAGTTCTAGATCCCTGAGGAATCGCCACACTGACTTCCACAATGGTTGAACTAGTTTACAGTCCCACCAACAGTGTAAAAGTGGTCCTATTTCTCCACTTCCTCTCCAGCACCTGATGTTTCCTGACTTTTTAATGATTGCCATTCTAACTGGTGTGAGATGGTATCTCATTGTGGTTTTGATTTGCATTTCTCTGATGGCCAGTGATGGTGAGCATTTTTTCATGTGTTTTTTGGCTGCATAAATGTTTTCTTTTGAGAAGTGTCTGTTCATGTCCTTCACCCACTTTTTGATGGGGTTCTTTGTTTTTTTCTTATAAATTTGTTTGAGTTCATTGTAGATTCTGGATATTAGTCTTTTGTGAGATGAGTAGGTTGCGAAAATTTTCTCCCATTTTATAGGTTGCCTGTTCACTCTGATGGTAGTTTCTTTTGCTGTGCAGAAACTCTTTAGTTTAATTAGATCCCATTTGTCAATTTTGTCTTTTGTTGCCATTGCTTTTGGTGTTTTAGACATGAAGTCCTTGCCCATGCCTATGTCCTGCATGGTAATGCCTAGGTTTTCTTCTAGGGTTTTTATGGTTTTAGGTCTAACGTTTAAGTCTTTAATCCATCTTGAATTAATTTTTGTATAAGGTGTAAGGAAGGGATCCAGTTTCAGCTTTCTACATATGGCTAGCCAGTTTTCCCAGCACCATTTATTAAATAGGGAATCATTTCCCCATTTCTTGTTTTTCTCAGGTTTGTCAAAGATCAGATAGTTGTAGATATGAGGCGTTATTTCTGAGGGCTCTGTTCTGTTCCATTGATCTATATCTCTGTTTTGGTACCAGTACCATGCTGTTTTGGTTACTGTAGCCTTGTAGTATAGTTTGAAGTCAGGTAGCATGATGCCTGCAGCTTTGTTCTTTTGGCTTAGGATTGACTTGGCGATGCGGGCTCTTTTTTGGTTCCAGATGAACTTTAAAGTAGTTTTTTCCAATTCTGTGAAGAAAGTCATTGGTAGCTTGATGGGGATGGCATTGAATCTGTAAATTACCTTGGGCAGTATGGCCATTTTCACGATATTGATTCTTCTTACCCATGAGCAAGGAATGTTCTTCCATTTGTTTGTATCCTCTTTTATTTCATTGAGCAGTGGTTTGTAGTTCTTCTTGAAGAGGTCCTTCATGTCCCTTGTAAGTTGGATTCCTAGGTATTTTATTCTCTTTGAAGCAATTGTGAATGGGAGTTCACTCATGATTTGGCTCTCTGTTTGTCTGTTATTGGTGTATAAGAATGCTTGTGATTTTTGTACATTGATTTTGCATCCTGAGACTTTGCTGAAGTTACTTATCAGCTTAAGGAGATTTTGGGCTGAGAGAATGGGGTTTTCTAGATATACAATCATGTCGTCTGCAAACAGGGACAATTTGACTTCCTCTTTCCCTAATTGAATACCCTTTATTTCCTTCTCCTGCCTAATTGCCCTGGCCAGAACTTCCAACACTATGTTGAATAGGAGTGGTGAGAGAGGGCATCCCTGTCTTGTGCCAGTTTTCAAAGGGAATGCTTCCAGTTTTTACCCATTCAGTATGATATTGGCTGTGGGTTTGTCATAGATAGCTCTTATTATTTTGAGATATGTTCCATCAATACCTAATTTACTGAGAGTTTTTAGCATGAAGGGCTGTTGAATTTTGTCAAAGGCCTTTTCTGCATCTATTGAGATAATCATGTGGTTTTTGTCTTTGGTTCTGTTTATATGCTGGATTACATTTATTGATTTGCATATATTGAACCAGCATCCCAGGGATGAAGCCCACTTGATCATGGTGGATAAGATTTTTGATGTGCTGCTGGATTCGGTTTGCCAGTATTTTATTGAGGATTTTTGGATCAATGTTCATCAAGGATATTGGTCTAAAATTCTCTTTTTTGGTTGTGTCTCTGCCCGGCTTTGGTATCAGGATGATGCTGGCCTCATAAAATGAGTTAGGGAGGATTCCCTCTTTTTCTATTGATTGGAATAGTTTCAGAAGGAATGGTACCAGTTCCTCCTTGTACCTCTGGTAGAATTCGGCTGTGAATCCATCTGGTACTGGACGTTTTTTGGTTGGTAAGCTATTGATTATTGCCACAATTTCAGAGCCTGTTATTGGTCTCTTCAGAGATTCAACATCTTCCTGGTTTAGTCTTGGGAGAGTGTATGTGTCGAGGAATTTATCCATTTCTTCTAGATTTTCTAGTTTATTTGCATAGAGGTGTTTGTATTATTCTCTGATGGTAGTTTGTATTTCTGTGGGTTTGGTGGTGATATCCCCTTTATCATTTTTTATTGCGTCTATTTGATTCTTCTCTCTTTTTTTCTTTATTAGTCCTGCTAGCAGTCTATCAATTTTGTTGATCCTTTCAGAAAACCAGCTCCTGGATTCATTAATTTTTTGAAAGGTTTTTTGTGTCCCTATTTCCTTCAGTTCTGCTCTGATTTTAGTTATTTCTTGCCTTCTGCTAGCTTTTGAATGTGTTTGCTCTTGCTTTTCTAGTTCTTTTAATTGTGATGTTAGGGTGTCAATTTTGGATCTTTCCTGCTTTCTCTTGTGGGCATTTAGTGCTATAAATTTCCCTCTACACACTCCTTTGAATGTGTCCCAGAGATTCTGGTATTTTGTGTCTTTGTTCTCGTTGGTTTCAAAGAACATCTTTATTTCTGCCTTCATTTCATTCTGTACCCAGTAGTCATTGAGGAGCAGGTTGTTCAGTTTCCATGTAGTTGAGCAGTTTTGAGTGAGTTTCTTAATCCTGAGTTCTAGTTTGATTGCACTGTGGTCTGAGAGAGAGTTTGTTATAATTTCTGTTCTTTTACATTTGCTGAGTAGAGCTTTACTTCCAACTATGTGGTCAATTTTGGAATAGGTGTGGTGTGGTGCTGAAAAAAATGTATATTCTGTTGATTTGGGGTGGAGAGTTCTGTAGATGTCTATTAGGTCCGCTTGGTGCAGAGCTGAGTTCAATTCCTGGATATCCTTGTTAACTTTCTGTCTTGTTGATCTGTCTAATGTTGACAGTAGGGTGTTAAAATCTCCCATTATTATTGTGTGGGAGCCTGAGTCTCTTTGTAGGTCACTCAGGACTTGCTTTATGAATCTGGGTGCTCCTGTATTGGGTGCATATATATTTAGGATAGTTAGCTCTTCCTGTTGAATTGATCCCTTTACCATTACGAAATGACCTTCTTTGTCTCTTTTGATCTCTGTTGTTTTAAAGTCTGTTTTATCAGAGACTAGGATTGCAACCCCTGCCTTTTTTTGTTTTCCATCTGCTTGGTAGGTCTTCCTCCATCCTTTTATTTTGAGCCTATGTGTGTCTCTGCCCGTGAGATGGGTTTCCTGAATACAGCACACTGATGGGTCTTGACTCTTTATCCAATTTGCCAGTCTATGTCTTTTAATTGGAGCATTTAGTCCATTTATATTTAAAGTTAATATTGTTATGTGTGAATTTGATCCTGTCATTATGATGTTAGCTGGTTATTTTGCTCGTTAGTTGATGCAGTTTCTTCCTACCCTCGATGGTCTTTACAATTTGGCATGATTTTGCAGTGGCTGGTACTGGTTGTTCCTTTCCAAGTTTAGTGCTTCCTTCAGGAGCTTTTAGGGCAGGCCTGGTGGTGACAAAATCTCTCAGCATTTGCTTGTCTGTAAAGTATTTTATTTCTCCTTCACTTATGAAGCTTAGTTTGGCTGGATATGAAATTCTGGGTTGAAAATTCTTTTCTTTAAGAATGTTGAATATTGGCCCCCACTCTCTTCTGGCTTGTAGAGTTTCTGCCAAGAAATCAGCTGTTAGTCTGATAGGCTTCCCTTTGTGGGTAACCCGACCTTTCTCTCTGGCTGCCCTTAACATTTTTTCCTTCATTTCAACTTTGGTGAATCTGACAATTATGTGTCTTGGAGTTGCTCTGTTCATATTCCTTGGACACTTTTTGATGGGGTTGTTTGTTTTTTTCTTGTAAATTTGTTTAAGTTCCTTGTAAATTCTAGATATTAGCCCTTTGTCAGATGGGTAAATTGAAAAATGTTTTTCCTATTCTGTAGGTTGCCTGGTGACTCTGGTGATAGTTTTTTTTTGGCTGTGCAGCAGCTGTTTAGTTTAATTAGATCCCATTAGTCAATTTTGTGTTTTGTTGCCATTGCTTTTGGTGTTTTAGTCATGAAGACTTTACCCATGCCTATGTCCTGAATGGTATTGTCTAGGTTTTCTTCTAGCGTTTTTATGGTTTTAGGTCTTACATTTAAGTTTTTAAACCCTCTTGAGTTAATTTTTGTATAAGGTGTAAGAAAAGGGTCCATTTTCAGTTTTCTGCATATGGCTAGCCAGTTTTCCCAGCACCATTTATTAAATAGGGGAACCTTTCCCCATTGCTTGTTTTTGTCAGGTTTGCCAAAGATCAGATGGTTGTAGATGTGTGGTGTTATTTCTGAGGCCTCTGTTCTGTTCCCTTGGTCTACACATCTATTTTGGTACCAGTACCATGCTGTTTTGCTTAATATAGGCTTGTAGCATAGTTTGAAGTCAGATAGCATGATGCCTCCAGCTTTGTTCCTTTTGCTTAGGATTGTCTTGGCTATGCAGACTCTTTTTTGGTTCCATATGAAGTTTAAATTAGTTTTTTCTAATTCTTTGAAAAAAGTTAGTGGTAGCTTGATGGGGATAGCATTGAATCTATACATTACTTTGGGCAGTATGGCCATTTTCACTATGTTGTTTCTTCCTATCTATGAGCATGGAATGTTTTTTCCATTTCTTTGTGTCCTCTCTAATATCCTTGAGCAGTGTTGTGTAGTTTTCCTTGAAGAGGTCCTTCACCTCCCTTGTAAGTTGTATTCCTAGGTATTTTATTCTTTTTGTAGCAACTGAGAATTGGAATTCACTCATGATTTGGCTCTCTGTTTGTCTATTATTGGTGTATAAGAATTCTTGTGATTTTTGCACATTGATTTTGTATCCTGAGACTTTGCTGAAGTTGCTTATCAGCTTAAGGAGACTTTGAGCCAAGACAATGCGGTTTTCTTAATATAGAATCATGTCTTCTGCCAACAGAGACAATGTGACTTCCTCTCTTCCTATTTGAATACCCTTTCTTTCTTTCTCATGCCTGATTGCCCTGGTCAGAACTTTCAATATTATGTTGAATAGGAGTGGCAAGAGAGGGCATCTTTGTCTTGTGCCAGTTTTCAAAGGGAATGCTTCCAACTTTTGCCCATTTAGTTTGATATTGGCTGTGTGTTTGTCATAAATAGCTCTTATTATTTTGATATATGTTCCATCAATACCTAATTTATTGAGAGTTTTTAGCATGAAGGGCTGTTGAATTTTGTCAGAGGCCTTTTCTGCATCTATTTAGAAAATCATATGTTTTTTGTCTTTGGTTCTGTTTATGTGATGGATTACATTTATTGATTTGCGTATATTGAACCACCCTTGCATTCCAGGATGAAGCAGACTTGATCATGTTGGATAAGCTTTTTGATGTGCTGCTGGATTCGGTTTGCTATTATTTTTTTTTGAGGATTTTTGCATTGATATTCATCAGGGATATTGGATGGCCTCATTAAATGAGTTAAGGAGGAGTCCCTCTTTTTCTATTGTTTGAAATAGTTTCAGAGGGAATGGTACCAGCTCCTTTTTGTACCTCTGGTAGAATTTGGCTGCGAATCCGTCTGGTCCTCGACTTTTTTTTGGTCAGTAGGCTATTAATTACGGCCTTAATTTCAGAACTTGTTATTGATCTATTCAGGGATTCGACTTCTTTCTGGTTTAGACTTGGGAGAGTGTATGTGTCCAGGAACTTATCAATTTCTTCTGGATTTTCTAATTTATTTGCATAGAGGTGTTTATAGTGTTCTCTGATGTTAGTTTGTATTTCTGTGGGATCAGTGGTGATATCCCCTTTATCATTTTTTACTGTGTCTGTTTGAGTCTTCTCTCTTTTCTTCTTTATAGTCTGGTTAGCAGTCTATCTATTTTGTTATTTTTTTCAGAAAACCAGCTCCTGGATTCATTATTTTTTGGAGGGTTTTTTGTGTCTCTCTCTCCTTCAGTTCTGCTCTGATGTTAGTTATTTCTTGTCTTCTGCTAGCTTTTGAATTTGTTTGCTCTTGCTTCTTTAGTTCTTTTAATTGTGGTGTTAGGTTGTCAATTTTAGATCTTTCCCACTTTCCGATGTGGGCATTTAGTGCTATAAATTTCCCTCTTAACACTGCTTTAAATGTGTCCCAGATGTTCTGGTACATTGTGTCTTGGTTCTCATTGGTTTCAAAGATCATCTTTATTTCTGCCTTTATTTCGTTATTTACCCAGCAGTCATTCAGAGCAGTTGTTCAGTGTCTATGTTGTTGTGCAGTTTTGAGTGAGTTTCTTTATCCTGAGTTCTAATTTGATTGCACTTTGGTCTGAGAGACTGTTTTTTATGATTTCCATTCTTTTGCATTTGCTGAGGAGGGTTTTACTTTCAATTATGTGGTCAATTTTAGAATAAGTGCAATGTGATGCTGAGAAGAATGTATATTCTGTTGATTTGGGATGGAGACTTCTGTAGATGTCTATTAGGTCGGCTTGGTCCAGAGCTGATTCAAGTCCTGAATATCCTGGTTAATTTTCTGTCTTGTTGATCTAATATTGACAGTAGGGTGTTTAAGTCTCCTACTATTATTGTGTGGGAGTCAAAGTCTCTGTGTAGGTCTCTAAGAACCTGCTTTATGAATCTGGGTGCTCTGTATTGGGTGTATATATATTTAGGATAGTTAGCTCTTCTTGTTGTATTGATCCCTTTACCATTATGTAGTGTCCTTCTTTGTCTTTTTTGATCTTTGTTGGTTGAAAGTCTGTTTTATCAGAGACTAGGATTGCAACCCCTGCTGTTTTTTTGCTTTCCATTTGCTTGGTAAATATTCCTCCCTTTTTTTTTTTTTTTTTTTTGAGTTTATGTGTGTCTTCATACATGAGATGGGTCTCCTGAATACAGCACACTGATGGGTCTTGACTCTTTATTCAATTTGCCGGTCTGTGTCTTTTACTTGGGGCATTTAGCCCATTTACATTTAATGTTAATATTGTTATGTGTGAATTTGATACTCTCATTATAGTTCTAGCTGGTTATTTTGCTTCTTAGTTGATACAGTTTCTTCATAGTGTCTATTGTCTTTACAATTTGGTATGTTTTTGCAGTGGCTGTTACCAGTTTTTACTTTCCCTATTTAGTGCTTCCTTCAGGAGCTCTTATAAAGCACAGCTGGTGGTGACAAAATCTCTCAGCATTTGCTTGTCTGTAAAGGATCTTATTTCTCCTTCACTTATGAAGCTTAGTTTGGCTGGATATGAAATTCTGGGTTGAAAATTCTTTTCTTTAAGAATGTTGAATATTGACTCCCACTTTCTTCTGGCTTGTAGAGTTTCTGCTGAGAGATCTGCTGTTAATCTGTTGGGCTTCCCTTTGTGGGTAACCCGACCTTTCTCTCTGGCTGCCCTTAACATTTTTTTCTTCATTTCAACCTTGGTGAATCTGAATATTATGTGTCTTGGCATTGCTCTTCTCGAGGGATATCTTTGTGGTGTTCTCTGTATTTCCTGAATTTGAATGTTGGCCTGTCTTGCTAGGTTGGGGTGTTTTCCTGCATAATATTTTGAAGAGTGTTTTCCAACTTGGTTCCATTCTTTCTGTCACTTTCAGGTACACCAATCAAACGTAGGTTTGGTCTTTTCACATAGTCCCATATTTCTTGGAGGGTTTGTTCATTTCTTTTCATTTTTTTTCTCTAATCTTGTCTTTATGCTTTATTTCATTAAGTTGATCTTTAATTTCTGATATCCTTTCTTTTGCTTGATTGATTCAGCTTTTGATACTTGTGTATGCTTATTGAAGTTCTTGTGCTGTGTTTTTCAACTCCATCAGGTCATTTATGTTCTTCTCTAAACAGGTTATTCTAGTTTGCAATTCCTCTAACCTTTTTTCAACGTTCTTAGTTTCTTTCCATTAGGTTAGAACATACTCAAGGAGGGTGAGCAGAAGCAGGATGGGGTGTTGCCTCACCCAGGAAGTGCAATGGGTTGGATAACTCCCTCCTTTAGCCAAGGAAAGCCTTGAGGAGCTGTGCTGTGAGGAAGGGTGCATTTTGGCCATGATACTAGGCTTTTCTCATGGTCTTTGCAACCTGCAGACCAGGAGATTCCCTTGGGTGCCTATACCACCAGGGCCCTGGGTTTCAAGCACAAAACTGGGTGGCCTTTTGGCAGACATTGAGCTAGATGTGGGATTTTTTTTTAATACCCCAGTGGTGCCTGGAACATCACTGAGACAGAATCATTCACTTCCCTGGAAAGGGGACTGAAGGCAGAAAGCCAAGTGGTATAGCTCAGCAGATCCCACACCCATGGAGCCCAGCAAGCTAAGATCCACTGGCTTGAAATTCTTGCTTGCAGCGCAGCAGTCTGAAGTCGACCTGGGATGCTCAATCTTGGTGGGGTGAGGGGGGTCTGCCATTACTGAGGCTGCAGTAGGCTGTTTTCCCCTCACAGTGTAAACGAGCCCCTGGGAAATTTGAACTGGGCAGAGCCCACCGCTGCTAGGCAAAGCTGCTGGAGCCAGCCTGCCTCTCTAGATTCCTCCTCTCTGGGCTGGGCATCTCTGAAAGAAAGGCAGCAGCCCCAGTCAGGGGCTTATAGATAAAACTCCCATCTCTCTGGGACAGAGCAGCTGGGGGAAGGGGCGCTTGTGGGCACAGCTTCAGCAGAGTTAAACATTCCTGCCTGCTGGCTCTGAAGAGAGCAGCGGATCTCCCAGTACAGCGTTCAAGTTCTGCTAAGGAAGAGAATGCCTCCTCAAGTGGCTTCCCGACCCCTGTTCCTCCTGACTGGGAGACACTTCCCAGCAGGGGTCGACAGACACCTCATTCAGGAGAGCTCCGGCTGGCATCTGGCTAGTTCCCCTCTGGGATGAAGCTTCCAGAGGAAGGAACAGGCAGCAATATTTGCTGTTATGAAGCCTCCGCTGGTGATATCCAGGCAAACAGGGTCTGGAGTGGATCTCCAGCAAACTCCAGCAGACCTGCAGCAGAGGGGTCTGACTGTTAGAAAGAAAACTAACAAACAGAAAGAAATAGCATCAACATCAGCAAAAAGGACATCCACACAGAAACCCCATTTGAAAATCACCAACATCAAAGGCTAAAGGTAGATAAATCCACATAGGTGAGGAAAAACCAGTGCAAAAAGGCTGAAAATTTCAAAACCCAGAATGCCTCTTCTCCTCCAAAGGATCACAACTCCTCACTAGCAAGGGAACAAAACTGGACAGAGAATGAGTTTGATGAATTGACAGAAGTAGGCTTCAGAAAGTGGGTAATAACAAACTCCTCCAAGCTTCTGAGGAAAATTTTATGTGCCTTTTTAGCTTTGAAAGTAAATCTTGCCTTAACAAGTTTACTGGAGAAGTATCACATAGTAAAACAGTGTTTTTCTGAAACGGGGCCAAAAGTTAACTGGATGGGTTCAGATATGGGAACCTCTTGAACTTGATCTGAAACCCCCACCACAGAAATGACCTTTTTACTCCGAAGAATTCGTTGGCTTATTAAAGTGGGGTTTATGGTAGATAGAGTAGTCCTAGCATCCATGGGCACTGTACACAACTCCCCATTTATTTAAACCTCTTTTTCTCCAAGTTTATTTAAAGATATTATGGGAAGCAGTCTACTGGAGAATCCCTCGGAGCCTCATCTGTGTTCATTATTGTCAGGAGAACTAAGGTCTCTTGGGTTTCCTCTAGTAGTGAAACAGTTTGGCCTAGAGGAAGGCTTATTGGCGGACTGATACAAAAGTGGACAACCCCTTTTCCAGTGCCCTGGATGTTTGCAATACAGGCAGACATCTTGGGGTAAAGAACTTCTTGTTCTAGGACTTCTTGATTGTGACTTAAAATGATAACGAGAAGGTCCCTGTGGTCCCAGTCCCTGGAACTGTTGTAATTGAAGGGTCATAAGCTTGTTAGCCTTTTGAGTTTTTTCTTGCTCTAGAGTCCTCTCAAAATGTTCAGCTAAGGCCAACAAATCAGTCATATCTGTAACTTCCCATCCCAACTTATGTTTTTTAATTAAACTGCTAAGTTCAGGACATAGTCCATTTATAGATGGAGCAGTTAATGCCATTTCAGTCCCTGCAGGAAATACTCCTTGCTGTAGTTTGAGCCAAGAATGTTTCACAAACAATATTTCTAAGTGAATTCTGTAATCTGAAACAGGTTCGTTCTCTTTTTTGCTTACAAGATTGTGTGATGGACCAGTTAATTTTTTAAAAAATTTTTAGGAATTGAATGTAAAAGCTCTTCAGCATTTTCTTCTAGCTACTTTTGGTCCTTCTCATGAGGAGCTCTTGGAGGAGTTTTTAATAGCCTCCTCATGTTTGTCTCATTCTACTGCCTCCATTCATTTCCGAGCTTCACTAGGCCCCAATATTATTTGAATAAATTGGTAAAGGTCAGGAAGTCTGGATCGTAAGCTGCTGTGAGGATTCTAAATTCCTCAGTAAATTTTTGAGGATTTTCCGTTGGATCAGAGAAGACCTTCAAAATGGCTCTAAGCTCAGTTTTAGACCATGGAGTGAAAGTAGTTACAGCAGGCAGACCTGGCTGATCAGAAGGTCTCACTTTATAAGGCATCTGTCTAACTTCTTTTTGTCATCATCCTCAGGGTGAAAGAGTAATTTGCAAAAAGTTTAGTGGACTCAGAGTATGTTAGTAGAGATTGATAAAGAGAAGGAACAGTTGGGGTTAGTTCAGTCAGAGTAAAATCCTCTTTTGTCATGTCCTTGGTCAGTTGCTTAAGCTTTTCATTTGCTTTTTGCAAAGAATCTTTTTTTTGCATTTTATTTTATTTTTATTTTTATTTTTTTTAATTATACTTTAAGTTTTAGAGTACATGTGCACAATGGGCAGGTTAGTTACATATGTATACATGTGCCATGTTGGTGTGCTGCACCATTAACTCATCATTTAACATTAGGTATATCTCCTAATGCTATCCCTCCCCCCTCCCCCCACCCCACAACTGGCCCTGGTGTGTGATGTTCCCCTTCCTGTGTCCATGTGTTCTCATTGTTCAATTCCCACCTATGAGTGAGAACATGCGGTGTTCGGTTTTTTGTCCTTGTGATAGTTTTCTGAGAAAGATGGTTTCGAGCTTCATCCATGTCCCTACAAAGGACATGAACTCATCATTTTTTATGGCTGCATAGTATTCCATGGTGTATATGTGCCACATTTTCTTAATCCACTCTATCATTGTCAGACATTTGGGTTGGTTCCAAGTCTTTGCTATTGTGAATAGTGTCACAATAAACATACGTGTGCATGTGTCTTTACAGCAGCATGATTTATAATCCTTTGGGTATATACCCAGTAATGGGATGGCTGGGTCAAATGGTATTTCTAGTTCTAGATCCCTGAGGAATCGCCACACTGACTTCCACAATGGTTGAACTAGTTTACAGTCCCACCAACAGTGTAAAAGTGTTCCTATTTCTCCACATCCTCTCCAGCACAAGGAGGCAATTTTTTATTCATTTAGTCTTTTAGAAGCCTCTGCATAACAATCAAAGAATACATCCCACTGTTTTTGTGGGGTTTCTGAGTCCTGTTTTTCTAATATGCCTCACAAATAAACCATTTTATTCAAATTAAAACTTCCTTATTGCGGCCACCTTAATTCTAAGTTTTCTTTAGTGAGGTTAACCAATTTTTATAAAAATGCACATATTCAAGGCCCATAATTTTTATAAATAAAATTACCTGGAGTCCCAGAAGGTGGAGTCCCAGACTCCTTGGATTGAGATGATCCCATTATTAAATAAGGTACCTATTGGAGGTCCGAGATGTCTAACTGAATCCAATTCAGTTATTTACTGAATCCAATCCCATCTTGGACCCAGTGTAGTCTAAGTATTGCTCCAGTAAACTCAGAGAGCTCAAAACACAAGTTAGTGGAGCTCGGAATCTGAGAGAAAACACCCATGACCTCCAGTTACAATCAAGAGAACAGTGAGCATAATGAGCCCGGCAGGTACCTGGCCTGGTAACCTGTTTTTTCTGGGAGTCGCCAGAGTTTTGCTTCGAAAAATCTTTTTGAAGGATTAATTAAGCCGTCATGGATTTCTTATATAAAAAGTAGAAGCAATATTATTTATTTTATTTAATTTGAAAAGCGTTGAAAAGTAACCCATTCTTACTTTTATTTAACAAAATCAGATCTTCTGACACCAGATCTGTTAAAAGAAAACTTCAGACAAGGTAAATTTGATGGAGTTTAATTGAGCAAAGAAAAGAAACGATTCACAAATCAGGCAGCCTCCAGAATCATAGCAGATTCAGAGAGATTCCAGGGTGCCTCGTGGTCAGAACAAACTTACAGACAAAAAAGTAAAGTGACGTACAGAAATCGGAAGTGAGGTACCGAAACAGTGAGATTGGTTACAGCTTGGCATTTGCCTTATTTGAACACAGTTTAAACATTCAGTAGTCTATGGGTGGTTGAAGTATGTCCACTGGGATTGGCCAACACTCAGCTATTATTCCAAATGCATACTATTAAGTTAGGTTTTCAAGTTTGTCTGCCTATTAAGCTAGGTAACGGTTCGTCCACAAGTACTCAAATATAGAAGGATGGAGTCTTCTCAGGCCATATTTAGTTCACTTTAACACTTCCCTCCATGTGATCTTTACATGTCAGCTCCCTTTTGCCTTCTGCCATGAGTGGAAGCAGCTTAAGGATCTCTCCAGATGCAGTTGCCAGTACCATGTTTCTTGTACATCCTGCAGAACCATGAGCAAAATGAACCCCTTTTTTCTTGTAAATTACCCAGCCTCAGGTATTTCTTTACAACAATACAAATGGACTAAGGCAGTTCCCTACTCAAAGATGCTGAAACTATATACATCTTTCTACCTGTTGGTGTTTTTTTCCCCCTCAGCTTGGATGTTGAGATGTGTGAGCAGTATCTTGATTTTTCGTTATTTTTGATGTATATGTTTTGTTTGTTTACTGTTCTAGTTGTTCTGTTTTTACAGGTTATTCTGGACTGTGATTAAAAACTATGCTGCTACTGCCATCAACTTTGCAGAATCACTGTAACAATGTTATTTTTATATAATATTTCATAACTAGGTAATTTTGGTTAGGTAAAAATTAAGTTTAAAAAGAGCCTGGTCAAAATCAAGTCATCCTTCAAGAAAAAAGCCCTAACAGATAGTAACTCCATGAACGGCATAGATTTGGCAATTATACAAAACTTTGCCTATTTTGTACACCTTAGCAAGGAATTGCTTTTTAAGGTAATTCATATTGTGTCTATCTGTTGAAAAAAGAGGCATATTCTGTTCTGTGTTGAGAAGTATTATGTTTTTTGTTTTTGTTTTTGTTTTTTTTTTTTTGAGACGGAGTCTCGCTCTGTCTCCCAGACTGGAGTGCAGTGGCGCGATTTCGACTCACTGCAAGCTCCACCTCCTGGGTTCATGCCATTCCCCTGCCTCAGCCTCCTGAGTAGCTGGGACCACAGGCGCCCGCAACCACACCTGGCTAATTTTTTGTATTTTTAGTAGAGACAGGGTTTCACCGTGTTAGCCAGGATGGTCTCAATCTCCTGACCTCGTGATCCGCTCGCCTCGGCCTCCCAAAGTGCTGAGATTACAAGCGTGAGCCACCGCGCCCAGCCGAGAAGTATTATGTTATTTGATGTTTTCGTTTTGCAGCTAATTTTGGTTGTATCCACAATATTTATTGCCTATATAAATATTTTTAGTAGCTATTATTTTCCAAAAAACTGGCTTCATATTTTCTACGTGCAATAATGTACTTTGAAAGGTACGATGTACAGTATTTTCAAAATTCATATATGAAACACAATATACATGCTTATCACATAAATTGTAATAACAAATTTAATAATTATATTAAGGATATATTTTGTAGGTCATTGAGTTGAGGTCTAGTGCCTAATCCTGTAACTATGAAAAACAGAGCTTTTTCATTCTGAGTGCTACCCTCTTGCAGATTTTGGACAATTACTTAAGCTGTCATGAATTTCTTACATAAAAAGTGGAAGCAATATTATTTATTTTATTTAATTTGAAAAGAGTTAAAAAGTAACCCAGTCTTACTGTTATTTAACAAAATCACTGTAGATACTTGGCAATAAAACTAAAGAGAAAAATATTAGTGTAAGAATTTAATTAGAAGAGGAACAGACTAATCTTTTTACAAACTGTTGTACTTTGATTGGACTCACCATTTCTTCTTTTCAGCCAGGATTTCAAGGCTAAAATATCAATAGTTTCTATAACTCTTAGTTTCTTTGCTGTAAATTTCTTTTTAAATTAAGTACCTAGTTTTGAATAACTTGCTTCTCTGTGTTTGGTTTGTCCAGTGATGTGATTTGTACTGCATTGTGAATAGTTTCCCAGAGACAAAATAATATTTACTAAGCCTTCATTTATGCTCAGCACTTTATAGAATTACAAAGAAAAAAATCCTTACCAAGGTGCTGAACAGCATCAGGATCCTGAACATCAACTGAGTTTTTCCAGAGACCCTGATAAGTTCTTATTTATGTCTTTCACCTCTTCATTTTCTCCAAACCTCTCCTACCCCTTATTGGCTGATATCTAAAATGCCAGAATACAAATGTTCCTGGAAAAGGGAATTTATGAACTTAAGATTACATTTGATATCCTATGAATAGACCTCTGTGATTGTGACCTTATAGTTTTTTGCAAGTACCGTCAGATCAACTGCGCAAAAGTAAAATTTAGAATTAGTTCTCTTCACTAAGCAGAGGTAGATACCTGGGATAAGATTTAGCCTTAAGCATCGGAGAGAAGTTATATCTGGCAGACAGGCATCATATCTAATTGGCAGGGCAACAGGTGGTCATTTACACAAATCGTATGAGAGGGTCCAATGGAAAGAAAGAGCATGCTCCCCAATGTAGGTCAGAGTACAAGTCTACCGAATCAAGGAACCTATGTCAATTAGAGCACAGTCAAAGCAGACGTTTAGCATCAGGAAATGTGTCACCTGATAACAAGTCAGACCTTGAGATTTGGGGAATATTATCAAGATTACATAGATGCAAGCACAGGGAACAAGATTGACATTCACCTACCACATATGGGGCAAAGTGGAAATGGGTCTCAGGAATAATGCAGAAGCCCAAATGGAAGATATGATATAGGCAACACTAGCTTAAATGTCTACAGTGGACAAACAGTTAACATGAGTATGTAAATCAGGCCAGGTCTATAAAACTAGATTAAAGAAATTGGTAATGAACTAGAAATTCAATGTCTGATCTAAAGACTTTCAAATTCAAAAAGTCAAAAAATGTTTATCATACAAACATAAATTTTCTTCTGGCCAAATTTAACTTGTAGAGCACCAGTTTGTGAGTCCTTAGTAAATGACTGATATCAGAGGCATTGCTTCGATAAAGCTTTTACAGGGGTAGAAAGAGGACAAAAGAGTGAGCACTGGGTAGTCAGGAGAGCAAAGTTAAAAATTGGAAGCACTGAAATAAAGTTTCACCAACTTCAGGACTGGATGCAGTGGTTCACACCTGTAACTGCAGTGCTTTGGTAAGCTGAGGCAGAAAGACAACTTGAGGTCAGGAGTTCAAGACCAGCCTGGGCACCATAGCAAGACCCTGTCTCTACAGACATTTTTTAAAAAGAATAGCTAGGCGTGGTGGCACATGCATGCAGTCCTAGCTACTTGGGAGGCTGAGGTGTTAGGATTACTTGAGTTCAGGAGGTCAAGGCTGCAGTGAGCTATGATCACACCACTGCACTCCAGCCTGAGTGACAGAGTGAGATCCTGTTCTCCCAAAAGAGTTTTGCTAACTTCACAATTTTGTCTCAGGCTTACCTTAATCTTAAGGAAGATAGTCTAGGTGAGAGAACAAAACATAAACAGAGGAAATGATTGAATGCTTTCCAAAAAAAAAAAAAAAAAAAAGCATGTCAGCAAGTGCAAATTCTTAAGTGCTAAGAGGGATGCTGAGTATTTGTGACCAGAGTCAGGATGGATTAATCTGGAAGAGTATGTATGGAGAGTAAATGTTCAGGCCAGTTTTGAAGGAAATAATGAGAAGACTGAAAGAAATGTTGAGAGAGCATTCATAGTAAAAGAAATAACTTATTAAAAGACACAGAAAATTAAATATCATATAGTGGAAAGAGACTTAAATTGACAATCAAAAAGACTTAGGCTCTTGACTTGGTTTTGCTACCAACACTCTCTGTCATTTTGGGTAAGTCCATTTCCATACCTGTGTTTTTATTCCCCATCTGGAAGTCAATCAAACAGAAGTTTGTAAATGCAAATTTCTACAGTGGCCAAGTAGCTAAATGAGTAAAAGACAGGTGGAAACCTGTCTGAGTAAAGCATGTCTGCCATGTATAAACAGACAGAAATAGCCTAGCTCCAACCATTTATGGCTAAGTGGCAATGAAGACTCAATAGTGTGATATTTCTAGAGACTCCAGAAATTTATATTTTTATGTGAAATCTTTTAATTTTTAATTTTTGACGAGGAGTTTACATGAAAACCGTATAAAGATCAAATAAAATATTTGTAAGCTATACTCTTTCTGTGAGCTACTAGGTTGCAATCTCTTGGCTAGATAGACTATGAAGATTCTTTCCATTTCATTTTATTTATGGTTCTATGACATTAAAGTTAAGATTTAGTAAAATGGAGGGAGATACCACAAGTTCTTGAGCTCTCCTTTATAGTAGAACGGCTAAAAGTATGGAATCAGAGAGCCTGTGTTTGAATCCTGACTTTGACCAAGAAGTGTGTGACCTTAAGGAAATTACATAGCCTTTCTGCAACTCAGTTTTATTTTTGGTAAAGTAAGGATAATAACAGTAATTCCATCATAGTTTTGTGAGGATTAACTGAGATAATAATTTATAGGCATACTTTGGAGATATTGTGAGCTGTGAGGTAAGAGCTAAATTTAATTATTCTGCATGTGGATCTCTCTAGTTGTCCCAGCTTCATTTGTTGAAGCATTGAATGGTCTTGGCTGTCAAAGTGTTTAAAGGCAATTTTCAAACAAGACATCTGATAGTATTATAAAAAGCAGCCAAAACTGTGCCAGGTTTCTTAAACCAGGACTTTAATTAATTAATTAATATGAGAAGGGAATAATTGAAGAATAACAATACATATGCTGTGTGAATATGATTATAATTAAAACTTAGTAAGCATGAAATTAAACACTCATAATGAATTATGTATATTTTGTTTCAGAGTATCTATAAGTAATTTATATGACAATATGTTCAGTTCTGACCATCAGCACCATGTGTTCCAGCAGTTCATTAACTATTTTTATTTTTATTTTTTTCTGTTCTGTTTTTTTTAAATTTATTATTATTATACTATAAGTTTTAGGGTACATGTGCCCAATGTGCAGGTTAGTTACATATGTACACATGTGCCATGCTGGTGCGCTGCACCCACTAACTCGTCATCTAGCATTAGGTATATCTCCCAATGCTCTCCCTCCACCCTCCCCCCACCCCACAACAGTCCCCAGAGTGTGATGTTCCCCTTCCTGTGTCCATGTGTTCTCATTGTTCAATTCCCACCTATGAGTGAGAATATGCGGTATTTGGTGGCTGCATAGTATTCCATGGTGTATATGTGCCACATTTTCTTAATCCACTCTATCGTTGTTGGACATTTGGGTTGGTTCCAAGTCTTTGCTATTGTGAATAGTGCCGCAATAAACATACGTGTGCATGTGTCTTTATAGCAGCATGATTTATAGTCCTTTGGGTATATACCCAGTAGTGGGATGGCTGGGTCAAATGGTATTTCTAGTTCTAGATCCCTGAGGAATCGCCACACTGACTTCCACAATGGTTGAACTAGTTTACAGTCCCACCAACAGTGTAAAAGTGTTCCTATTTCTCCACATCCTCTCCAGCACCTGTTGTTTCCTGACTTTTTAATGATTGCCATTCTAACTGGTGTGGGATGGTATCTCATTGTGGTTTTGATTTGCATTTCTCTGATGGCCAGTGATGGTGAGCATTTTTTCATGTGTTTTTTGGCTGCATAAATGTCTTCTTTTGAGAAGTGTCTGTTCATGTCCTTCGCCCACTTTTTGATGGGGTTCTTTGTCTTTTTCTTGTAAATTTGTTTGAGTTCATTGTAGATTCTGGATATTAGCCCTTTGTCAGATGAGCAGGTTGCGAAAATTTTCTCCCATGTTGTAGGTTGCCTGTTCACTCTGATGGTAGTTTCTTTTGCTGTGCAGAAGCTCTTGAGTTTAATTAGATCCCATTTGTCAATTTTGGCTTTTGTTGCCATTGCTTTTGGTGTTTTAGACATGAAGTCCTTGCCCATGCCTATGTCTTGAATGGTAATGCCTAGGTTTTCTTCTAGGGTTTTTATGGTTTTAGGTCTAACGTTTAAGTCTTTAATCCATCTTGAATTGATTTTTGTATAAGGTGTAAGGAAGGGATCCAGTTTCAGCTTTCTACATATGGCTAGCCAGTTTTCCCAGCACCATTTATTAAATAGGGAATCCTTTCCCCATTGCTTGTTTTTCTCAGGTTTGTCAAAGATCAGATAGTTGTAGATATGCGGCGTTATTTCTGAGGGCTCTGTTGTGTTCCATTGATCTATATCTCTGTTTTGGTACCAGTACCATGCTGTTTTGGTTACTGTAGCCTTGTAGTATAGTTTGAAGTCAGGTTGTGTGATGCCTCCAGCTTTGTTCTTTTGGCTTAGGATTGACTTGTCGATGCGGGCTCTTTTTTGGTTCCAGATGAACTTTAAAGTAGTTTTTTCCAATTCTGTGAAGAAAGTCATTGGTAGCTTGATGGGGATGGCATTGAATCTATAAATTCCCTTCGGCAGTATGGCCATTTTCACGATATTGATTCTTCCTACCCATGAGCATGGAATGTTCTTCCATTTGTTTGTGTCCTCTTTTATTTCATTGAGCAGTGGTTTGTAGTTCTCCTTGAAGAGGTCCTTCACATCCCTTGTAAGTTGGATTCCTAGGTATTTTATTCTCTTTGAAGCAATTGTGAATGGGAGTTCACTCATGATTTGGCTCTCTGTTTGTCTGTTGTTGGTGTATAAGAATGCTTGTGATTTTTGTACATTGATTTTGTATCCTGAGACTGTGCTGAAGTTGCTTATCAGCTTAAGGAGATTTTGGGATGAGACGATGAGGTTTTCTAGATATACAATCATGTCGTCTGCAAACAGGGACAATTTGACTTCCTCTTTTCCTAATTGAATACCCTTTATTTCCTTCTCCTGCCTAATTGCCCTGGCCAGAACTTCCAACACTATGTTGAATAGGAGTGGTGAGAGAGGGCCTCCCTTTCTTTTGCCAGTTTTCAAAGGGAATGCTTCCAGTTTTTACCCATTCAGTATGATATTGGTTGTGGGTTTGTCATAGATAGCTCTTATTATTTTGAGATACATCCCATCAATACCTAATTTATTGAGAGTTTTTAGCATGAAAGGTTGCTGAATTTTGTCAAAGGCCTTTTCTGCATCTATTGAGATAATCATGTGGTTTTTGTCTTTGGTTCTGTTTATATGCTGGATTACATTTATTGATTTGTGTCTATTGAACCAGCCTTGCATCCCAGGGATGAAACCCACTTGATCATGGTGGATAAGCTTTTTGATGTGCTGCTGGATTCTGTCTGCCAGTATTTTATTGAGGATTTTTGCATCAATGTTCATCAAGGATATTGGTCTAAAATTCTCTTTTTTGGTTGTGTCTCTGCCAGGCTTTGGTATCAGGATGATGCTGGCCTCATAAAATGAGTTAGGGAGGATTCCCTCTTTTTCTATTGATTGGAATAGTTTCAGAAGGAATGGGACCAGTTCCTCCTTCTACCTCTGGTAGAATTCGGCTGTGAATCCATCTGGTCCTGGACTCTTTTTGGTTGGTAAGCTATTGATTATTGCCACAATTTCAGAGCCTGTTATTGCTCTATTCAGAGATTCAACTTCTTCCTAGTTTAGTCTTGGGAGAGTGTATGTGTCGAGGAATTTATCCATTTCTTCTAGATTTTCTAGTTTATTTGCATAGAGGTGTTTGTATTATTCTCTGATGGTAGTTTGTATTTCTGTGGGATCAGTGGTGATATCCCCTTTATCATTTCTTATTGAGTCTATTTGATTCTTCTTTCTTTTTTTCTTTATTAGTCTTGCTAGCAGTGTATCAATTTTGTTGATCCTTTCAAAAAACCAGCTCCTGGATTCATTAATTTTTTGAAGGGTTTTTTGTGTCTCTATTTCCTTTAGTTCTGCTCTGATTTTAGTTATTTCTTGCCCTCTGCTAGCTTTTGAATGTGTTTGTTCTTGCTTTTCTAGTTCTTTTAATTGTGATGTTAGGGTGTCAATTTTGGATCTTTCCTGCTTTCTCTTGTGGGCATTTAGTGCTATAAATTTCCTTCTACACACTGCTTTGAATGCGTCCCAGAGATTCTGGTATGTTGTGTCTTTGTTCTCGTTGGTTTCAAAGAACATCTTTATTTCTGCCTTCATTTCATTCTGTACTCAGTAGTCATTGAGGAGCAGGTTGTTCAGTTTCCATGTAGTTGAGTGGTTTTGAGTGAGATTCTTAATCCTGAGTTCTAGTTTGATTGCACTGTGGTCTGAGAGAGAGTTTGTTATAATTTCTGTTCTTTTACATTTGCTGAGTAGAGCTTTACTTCCAACTATGTGGTCAATTTTGGAACAGGTGTGGTGCTGAAGAAAATGTATATTCTGTTGATTTGGGGTGGAGAGTTCTGTAGATGTCTACTCGGGCTACTTGGTGCAGAGCTGAGTTCAATTCCTGGGTATCCTTGTTAACTTTCTGTCTCACTGATCTGTCTAATGTTGACAGTGGGGTGTTAAAGTCTCCCATTATTAATGTGTGGGAGTCTAAGTCTCTTTGTATATCGCTCAGGACTTGCTTTATGAATCTGGGTGCTCCTGTATTAGGGGAGTATATATTTAGGATAGTTAACGCTTCTTTTTAAATTGATCTCTTTACCATTATGTAATGGCCTTCTTTGTCTCTTTTGATCTTTGTTGGTTTAAAGTCCGTTTTATCAGAGGCTAGGATTGCAACCCCTGCCTTTTTTTGTTTTCCATTTGCTTTGTAGATCTTCCTCCATCCTCTTATTTTGAGCCTATGTGTGTCTCTGCACATGAGATGGGTTTCCTGAATACAGCACACTGATGGGTCTTGACTCTTTATCCAATTTGCCAGTCTATGTCTTTTAATTGGAGCATTTAGTCCATTTACATTTAAAGTTAATATTGTTATGTGTGGATTTGATCCTGTCATTATGATGTTAGCTGGTTATTTTGCTCGTTAGTTGATGCAGTTACTTCCTAGTCTCGATGGTCTCTACATTTTGGCATGATTTTGCAGCAGCTGGTATCGGTTGTTCCTTTCCATGTTTAGCGCTTCCTTCAGGAGCTCTTGTAGGGCAGGCCTGGTGGTAACAAAATCTCTCAGCATTTGCTTGTCTGTAAGGTATTTTATTTCTCCTTCACTTATGAAGCTTAGTTTGGCTGGATATGAAATTCTGGGTTGAAAATTCTTTTCTTTAAGCATGTTGAATATTGGCCCCCACTCTATTCTGGCTTGTAGAGTTTCTGCCAAGAGATCCGCTGTTAGTCTGATGGGCTTCCCTTTGAGGGTAACCCGACCTTTCTCTCTGGCTGCCCTTAACATTTTTTCCTTCATTTCAACTTTGGTGAGTCTGACAATTACTTGTCTTGGAGTTGCTCTTCTCGAGGAGTATCTTTGTGGCGTTCTCTGTATTTCCTGAATCTGAATGTTGGCCTGCCTTGCTAGATTGGGGAAGTTCTCCTGGGTAATATCCTGCAGAGTGTTTTCCCACTTGGTTCCATTCTCCCCATCACTTTCAGGTACACCAATCAGACGTAGATTTGGTCTTTTCACATAGTCCCATATTTCTTGGAGGCTTTGCTCGTTTCTTTTTATTCTTTTTTCTCTAAACTTCCCTTGTCACTTCATTTCATTCACTTCATCTTCCATCGCTGATACCCTTTCTTCCAGTTGATCACATCGGTTCCTGAGGCTTCTGCATTCTTCACGTAGTTCTCGAGCTTTGGTTTTCAGTTCCATCAGCTCCTTTAAGCACTTCTCTGTACTGGTTATTCCAGTTATACATTCTTCTAAACTTTTTTCAATGTTTTCAACTTCTTTGCCTTCGGTTTGAATTTCCTCCCGTAGCTCGGAGTAATTTGATCGTATGAAGCCTTCTTCTCTCAGCTCATCAAAGTCATTCTCCTTCCAGCTTTGTTCCGTTGCTGGTGAGGAACTGCGTTCCTTTGGAGGAGGAGAGGTGCTCTGCTTTTTAGAGTTTCCAGTTTCTCTGCTCTGTTTTTTCCCCATCTTTGTGGTTTTACGTACTTTTGGGCTTTGATGATGGTGATGTACAGATGGGTTTTTGGTGTGGATGTCCTTTCTGTTTGTTAGTCTTCCTTCTAACAGACAGGACGCTCAGCTGCAGGTCTGTTGGAGTACCCAGCCGTGTGAGGTGTCAGTCTGCCCCTGCTGGGGGGTGCCTCCCAGTTAGGCTGCTCGGGGGTCAGTGGTCAGGGACCCACTTGAGGAGGCAGTCTGCCCGTTCTCAGATCTCCAGCTGCGTGCTGGGAGAACCACTGCTCTCTTCAAAGCTGTCAGACAGGTACATTTAAGTCTGCAGAGGTTACTGCTGTCTGTTTGTTTGTCTGTGCCCTGCCCCCAGAGGTGGAGCCTACAGAGGCAGGCAGGCCTCCTTGAGCTGTGGTGGGCTCCAGCCAGTTCGAGCTTCCCTGCTGCTTTGTTTACCTAAGCAAGCCTGGGCAATGGCGGGCGCCCCTCCCCCAGCCTCGCTGTCACCTTGCAGTTTGATCTCAGACTGCTGTGCTAGCAATCAGCCAGACTCCGTGGGCATAGGACCCTCCGAGCCAGGTGCGGGATATAATCTCCTGGTGCGCCGTTTTTTAAGCCCGTCAGAAAAGTGCAGTATTCAGGTGGGAGTGACCCGATTTTCCAGGTGCCCTCCGTCACCCCTTTCTTTGACTAGGAAAGGGAACTCCCTGACCCCTTGCGCTTCCCGAGTGAGGCAATGCCTCGCCCTGCTTCGGCTCGCGCACGGTGCGCGCACCATCTGACCTGCGTCCACTGTCTGGCACTCCCTAATGAGATGAACCCGGTACTTCAGATGGAAATGCAGAAATCACCCGTCTTCTGTGTTGCTCACGCTGGGAGCTGTAGACTGGAGCTGTTCCTATTCGGCCATCTTGGCTCCTCCCCCCAGTTCATTAACTATTATGTTGTTTCTTTCCTACTACACAATTTTACTCTATTGCTCTATGCTGACTTCCCTCCTTCCTTCCTTCCTTCCTTCCTTCCCTCCCTCCTTCTCTCTTTCTTTCTTGCTTTCTTGCTTTCTTTCTTTTTTGAGATTGAGTTTCACTTTTGTTGCCCAGGCTCTAGTGCAGTGGCACCATCTCAGCTCACCACAACCTCTGCCTCCTGGGTTCAAGCGATTCTCCTGCGTCAGCCTCCCGAGTTGCTGAGATTACAGGCATGCACCACCAAGCCCAGCTAATTTTTGTATTTTTAGTAGAGATGGGGTTTCACTATGTTGGCTAGGGTGGTCTTGATCTCTTGACCTCGTGGTCTGCCTGCCTCGGTCTCCCAAAGTGCTGAGGTTACAGATGTGAGCCACCGCGCCCAGCCTGATACGTTTCTTTATGACTACAGCATACCTTAGAGATATTGTGGGTTTAGTTCCATGCCACCGTGATAGAGCAAATATCACAATAAAGTGAGTCACAAAACTTTTTTAGTTTTCCTGTGTACATAAAGGTTTATGTTTACACTATACTGAAGTGTGTCTATTAAGTGTGCAGTAATATAATGTCTAAAAAACAATGGATGTATCTTAATTTAAAAAAATACTCAATTGCTAAAAATGCTAATGATCATCTGAACCTTAAGTGAGTTTTAATTTTTTTGCTGGTGGAGGGTCTTGCCTCAATGTTGATGGCTGTTGACTAATCAGGGTGGTGGCTGCTGAAGGTTGAGGCACCTGTGGTAATTTTTTTAAAAAAAAAAGACAGTGAAGGCCGGGCACGGTGGCTCATGCCTGTAATCCCAGCACTTTGGGAGGCCGAGTCGGGCGGATCACGAGGTCAGGAGATTGAGACCATCCTGGCTAACATGGTGAAACCCAGTCTCTACTAAAAATACAAAAAATTAGCCGGGTGTGGTGGCGAGCACCTGCGGTCCCAGCTACTCGGGAGGCTGAGGCAGGAGAATGGCGTGAACCTGGGAGGCGGAGCTTGCAGTGAGCCGAGATCACCACAGCACTCCAGCCTGGGCGACAGAGTGAGACTCCATCTCACGCACACAGACACACACACAGACACACACAGACACACACACACACACACACACACACAAAAGACAGTGAAGTTTGTCATCTACATTGACTCTTCCTTTCATGAAAGGTTTCTTGGTAGCATGCAATGATGTTTGTTAGCATTTTACCCACAGTAGAACTTTCAAAATTGGAATTAGACCTGTCAAACTCTGTCACTACTTTAGCAACTATGTTTATGTAATATTCTAAATCTTTTATTGCCATTTCAGCAGCGTTCACAGAATCTTCGCCAGGAGTAGACTACATCTAAAAAATCACTTGTTTTGCTCATCCATAAAAAGCAATTTTTCATCCAATTATGTTTTATCATGAGATTACAACAGCAAACCAGTCATATCTTCTGTTCCACTTCTAATTCTAGCTCTCTTTCTGTTTCTACCACATCTGCAGTGACTTCCTCTAATGAGTTCTTAACCACTCAAAGTCATCTATGAGGGTTGGAATCAACTTCTTCCAAACTCCTGTTAATGTTGATAAAATTGACCTCCTCCCATGAATTACAAATGTTCTTACTGGCATTTAGAATGGTGAATTCTTTCCAGAAAGTTTTCAATGTACTTTGCTCAAATACATCAGAGTAATCACTATCTAAGGCAGCTATAGCTTTACAAAATGTGTTTGTTAAATAATATGACTTAAAAGTAAAAATTACTCTTTAATTCATGGGCTACAGAATGAATGTTGTGTTTGCAGGCATGAAAATAACATTCATCTACTGGTAAATCTCCATCAGACCTCTTGGGTGACCAGGCGCATTTTCAACTAGCAGTGATATTTTGAAAAGAATTTTTCTTTCTTAGCAATAGATCTCAATATTGTGTGTAAAATATTCAGTACATTAATGCTGGAAAACAGATGTGCTATCATTCAGGTTTTGCTGTTTTATTTATAGAGTACAGGCAGAGTACAGTTACCATAATTCTTAAGGGACCTACAAATTTAAGAATGGCTAATAAATGGGCATTGGCTCAACTCAACTCAAAACTGTATAACTCCTAATGACAAAGTCAGCCTTTCTTTTGAAGCTTTAAAGTCAGGCATTGACTTCTTCTCCCTAGCTATTAAAGTCCTAGATGGCATCTACTTTTAGTATATAGCTGTTTTGTCAACATTGAAAAACTGTTGTTAAGTGTAGCCTCCTTCATCTATTATTTTAGCTACATCTTCTGGATAACTTGCTACAGCTTTTACATAAGCACTTGTTGCTTCATCTTGCAGTTTTATGTTACAGGGACAGATTTTTTTTCCTTTCCGCCGCATGAACAAATCTTTGCTAGCTTTAAACTTTTCTTCTGCAGCTAGCTCACCTTTCTCAGCCTTCACAGAGTTCAAGAGAGTTCTAGCCTTGCTCTGGATTAGGATTTGGCTAAAGGGAATGTTGTGGCAGGTTTGACCTTCTATCCAGACAACTTAAACTTTCCCCATATCAGCAATAAGGTTCTTTTGCTTTCTTATCATTTCTGTGTTCACCGGAATAGCACTTTGAATTTTCTTCAAGAACAGTTTTTTTTTGCACTCACAATTTGACTAACTGTTTGGCACAAGGGACCTAGCTTTCAGCCTAACTCAGCTTTTTGACCTGGCTTTTCTCCACTAAGCTTAATCATCTCTAGCGTTTGATTTAAAGTGAGAGATGTGCAACTCTTCATTTTACTTGAACACTTAACGGCCATTGTAAGGTTATTTGTTGGCCTAATTTCAATACTGTTGTGTCCCAGGGAACCGTGAAGCCTGAGGAGAGGGAGGGAGAAGGGGGAACAGCCAGTCAGTGGAGCAGTCAGAACACAAACAACATGTATCCATTAAGTTTGCAGACTTACATGGACACGGTTCGTGGTGCTCCTAAACAGGTATAATAGTAACATCAAAGATCACTGATCAAAGATTACCATAACAGATAAAATAATAACAATGTTTGATATATTGTGAGAATTACCAGAATGTGATACAGAGACACGAAGTGAGCACATGCTGTTAGGAAAATGGCACTGGTAGACTTGCTAATTCAGGGTTGCTGAAAACCCTCAGTTTGTAAAAATGCAATGTCTGTGAAGCACAATAAAGTGAAGTACAATAAAGTGAGATATGACTGCATATTAATTTCTGGAGCTGAAATACTTCTTCTCCTCTTAGACTTCCACTCTTTCTGTTGCAATGCCTCTTGCAAGAAGTTTGTGCAGTTCTACTATAGACATTTCTGTTTCTCCCTGCTTTTTTCTCTTTTCTCCAAATTTCTTCTTATCTTGTTTCTTTCCGTTCCATTGTCTTCTCTCATTATTTTTCTCTTTTTTTCTGCGCAATGCCCTTTGATTTGATCAATTTCTCTTTCTTTTGCTGTTTCTTTATGCCTGTTATGTGTGGTGAGCAAACCTATTCATTATCTCTCATAGTGGAGGTAAAAGATTAACTTCGTAGCAACATCATAAAGGATTGCTCCAGGAAAGAAATTTACCATGACTAGCATTTTTTTTTTTTATTTCTGGGTGTTGGGTTTTGCTTGATTTTAAACTTCCTTAGTCTTATATTGCCATAGCTGTGACCACTTGTTCTCACCTACAGGATTAGCCTGGAACCACTGACTTCAGAATATAAGGTTATAAGAATCTCCATCAACACTCTGTGACTCAGCATCAAGTTACTTATGATGTGGCCCTGAAATTATGCTGCTTTAGATAAATCCTATTGTGTTTGTTTCTGATACTGGGTTCTCATCTTACTCGCAATTCTGGTAATTGGTTTTTAACACTGCTTTCTGTGCCTAAGTCTCTGTTACCTTGGTATCCTGCCTTATACCCCAGGATAGCTAGGACTCGAATTTTGTTTTGCTTCTGTTCATTCCTCCTTTTTACCTGGAGTCCTCTTCCCTGAATCCTACACCAATAGCCAGGTTCATGCTACTTGCTGATAGCTTACTTAGACTTCTGAGTCTTAGTCCCCTGAATTCCTTTTCTCTCAGCTCAGTTGGCCTATTGAGAGTTACCATTGCCATATAGCAGGTAACCTCATGCCCACTGTTCTCAAACTTCAATGTGCATAGAAATTACTTGTGGTATGTATTAAAATTTCAAATGTATGAGTTTTGTCATCTGAGATTGCAATTCATTGTATTTTGTGGTAAAGCCCAGGGCTTTTCATTTTTAACAAGCTTTCTTGATTCTGATGCAAGTGGTCAGCACACCACACTTTGACAAACATTGTAACTTACAATTAAGGCTTACAAAGGAACTGTTTTCTCCTGCCTGTTGTCATATTATTTGGATGCTACTTCAAAATTAAACTTAGAGATTAAAGGACTGGTTCTGTATGTATTCTACTGCCTGACATACAAGATGTTTTTACCTGTGAGGTATGCTGAGACCTCAAAAGCTGGATTCTGAATGAAAAGAGAGTAAGCAGAAGATGGAAAGGACCAGGCTCTGGTTCCAGAATTGGACCCCGTATGGGTGGCTTGAAGTTAAAATCACACTTTCCAAGGATGCATAGTAAATGAGCTCTATTTGAGTTTGACCTGACAGGTACTGCTTAGTAGTTGCAGTTTTCAGCCAGGGACAATACTTGCATTACTTGCATTAAGGCATAAGGATTTTTGGTAATTTTAGTTTTTTTTTTTTTTTTTTTTTTTTTTTTTTTGCCATCTGTGCAGTTTTGGGAAGATATCTAGCCAATAGCTGGGGATATAAAAAGTAAGGTCTGGCTTTTGAGATGAATACATTTTCAAGAACTAGGTAGGTGTTTTTGAAAAGGCCAAGAATACTGCTCAAGCAAGCATGGGAAAGCTAGAAAATATTCAACATCATGGATATTTGTTGGTTTAGGCTGACAGCATTAATTTCCCTTTGTTATTTAGTACCTTAATTTAATTGTGTGGCATCACCTCTTCCCCACTGCATACAGTCTGGTGGGTCTATAGTTATGCCCCACTTCCTCCTCTAAGGGATGAGCAAGTGACCAAAATGAAGCTAACTTAAGACCTCCTTCCTGAACTTTGAAACGGGAAGAAAATAACGAACAAACAAGTCTTAGTGTATTTTATTCAAGCAAAGGGTCCAGTGCATACTCTGTTGTTTGTGACCAAAAGTCCTAACTGATAAATTAAAAAGAATAAGGCAGAAGCTGAGACAGAAGGACTGAGTAGCTATAATACAAGCTTGGGGAGAGATGGTTCTGAGGAGGAAGATAAGCATTTTGGAGGACTTGTGTGGGTCCAGGATTTGGTCTAGAAACACCAGAATTAAAAATGAGAATAAGACAACTAGTTTTAGATTTTACCTGTCGGTGATAATGGATTACTAATTTATTAGCAAGGTTGAGCTCACAATTTGAAGTTCTTTTGTATCTGCCGAGACCAGCTTGGCCATGCAGACCTTAACCCAGTGGCGCTAGAGGAATTAAAGACACAGACACAGAAATATAGAGTGTGGAGTGGGAAATCAGGGGTCCCACAGCCTTCAGAGCTGAGAGCCTTGAACAGAGATTTACCCACATATTTACTAACAGCAAGCCAGTCATAAGATTTACTCAAAGTATTCTTTATGGGAAATAAAGGGATGGGCCAAAATAAAGGGATGGGATCTGGCTAGTTATCTGCAGCATGAACATGTACTTAAGGCACAGATCGCTCATGCTATTGTTTGTGGTTTAAGAACGACGTAAGTGGTTTTCCGCCCTGGGTGGGCCAGGTGTTCCTTGCCCTCATTCCTGTAAACCAAAAGCCTTCCGGCGTGGGCATCAAGGCCATCATGAACATGTCACAGTGCTGCAGAGATTTTGTTTATGGCCAGTTTTTGGGCCAGTTTACGGCCAGATTTTGGGGCCTGTTCCCAACAGTACCTACAAAGAAATGGCTGGAAAAGGCAGAGACTGACAGGACCTAGCTTACCCTGATGAGCAGCTCTATCTGGCCCCTTCTAATCATCTTTATTCACTTCTAGAAATCAAGCTATTCTGGATGGTATACTGAAATATGACTCTAGGAACAACAAGCAGAATGTGAAAATGGGAACAGAAATACTGATTTGGCTCTTATAATCTATTCCCTATGAAATATGGTTGTCATGCTGAATTTTTTTCTGTGGGGTTGGAGGTTAAGATAGAGAATAAACAGATCTTAAAAATTGTGTTTATATTTATATATTCTGAGTAAAATTTATTGGCATTGCCTAACATGAGATATTGTTATGGCACAATGAAATGGTAGATCTAGAGATAAATGAGTTTTCATGCATGATTTTGTTTTGTTTGAAGTGAATAATTCCTACCAGTAAAGATTAAAAAAATGTTTAAGAGGAATTTTGAATAATTATTGAGATATAAAAATATTTTGTAATTGATTTTATAATTCATATATCACTCTTCTTTTTACTAAAACTATATGTCTATAATACACTATTATATTTTTAAGATATTTATTTCAGATATTTTACTGTAGATGTATATATGTTAGAAATTTTAATGTAATTTTTCTCCCTTGTTGAATTATAAGAATGAATATAGATGATCCAGAAAACCTTCTTCAGTTGTAGAAGCTATGTGATATTAAAGCACAAGTATTACTTGTGTTCTAAATACAGCCTCTGTTTAAAGGACAAGCCATTCATGTGCACAAAGCCACAAACATTGAAGCAAGGGAAATAGGATGTAGTTCCTTGTCACTTCAGAATCTGAGGGTTTTGATGTATAAAGTCACTTGAATAGTGCTTTCTGCTCCTTAAGGAAAAGTTATAATTTGCCTTACCTTCAGTTTAATTTCACTGCTTGAACCTAGACTCAGATATTAACATAATGTTTCAGATCCCAAACCTTGCCTTTGTACCATCTGCTCTTTCATGGCTTTGTTCCTTCAGGCCTCCCGAGATTCACTGGATACACCTGACAACACATACACACACACACACACACACACACACACACACACACACACACACACACCTGTTTTCCAAGGAAACATAATAAACTAAAAGTCATTTGGGCATTTTTTTCTTCCTAGAACTTTTTAGCAGGTAGTTTTCTTCAATTAAAAGGAAACTTTTTAGGTGGAGTAAGATGGCAGAATAGAAGGTTACATAATTTATCCCCCTTCTGGAAGACCAAATTTTAACAACTAACTACACACAAAAAGCATCATCAAGAACCAAAAGTCAGGTGAACAATCACAGTACCTGGTTTTAACTTTATATCACTGAAAGAGACACTGGAGAGAGTAGGAAAGATCATCTTGAAGTGCCAACACCAACCGTCCTCCATCCCCTTGCAGTGGCCACATGACATGGATATTCCATGTGCTTAGGAGATGCAGAGCACAGCAATTGTGAGGATTTGCATTGAACTTTGTGCTGTCCTATCACAGCGGAAAGCAGAACCAGGCTGTATTCACCTAACATCTACTCGTGGAAGGAGCACTTTGATCAGCCCTAGCCAGAGGGAAATTACCCATCTCAGCACTGGAGCTTGAGTTTCCACAAGCCTCACCACTGCAAGCTGGAGTGCTCTGGTGCCCTAAGTGAACTTGAGAGACATCTAGGCCACAAGGACTGCAATTCTTAGGCAAGTTCTAGTGCTGAGCTGGGCTCAGAGCCCGTGGACTGGGGGGACATGTGACCTTCTTAGACATCAACCAGGGTTTCTAATGGAGTAATTGTGTCACTCCTCATACACTCTTTGGCAGCAGCCACATAGTGGGAAGAAATCTGTGTTTGTGAGAGGGAGAATACAGCAAATGTGAGATTTTACATTGACCTCAGTGCTGCCTTGTCACAGCTGAGACCTGGCAGGATTCATCACCTGATAACTAAAAAGCCCCTGGGCCCTTAATAACCAACAGAAATACCCAGGAAACATGTCATGGACATTGGGCTTTGAGGTGTGTGGGCTCCAGGCGTGACCCAACACGTTCCCAGATGTGGTGGCTATGGAGACTCCTGTTTGAGAAAAACATGGGAAAAGTAAATAAAAATCTGTCTTGCACCTTAGGAACTAGCTCAGCCACAGTGGGGTAGAGCACCAACAAGATACTTGGGGTCACTGAGTCCAGGTTTAGGCTTTTCGTCAACATTTCTAGACCTGCCCTGAGTCAAAGAGTAACTCCCAGGCCTGGCAGCATTTATCACAAACTGACTGAAGAGCCCTAAGGCTTTAAGTGCAAGTTGATGATGGCCTGGCAGAAACCCCATGGGCTAGTAGTGGTGGCAGTCATAGGGAAAGATTCCTTTACCTGTGGAAAAAGGAGGAAAGAGTAGGAAGGAATTTATTTTGCTGTTTGAGTGCCACCTTAGTCACACTAGAGTAGAACACCAGGTAAATTTCTAAGATTTTTATCTTTAATGTCTGGCTCCCAGACAGACTCTCTGGACCCACCTAGGGCCTAAGGGAATTCACTTCCCTGAAGGAAGGGACAAAAACCTGGCTGGCTTTGCCACTTGCTGATTGTAGAGTCCCAGGGGCTTAAGTGAACTTAGGTGGTAGCCATGTAGTGGTTACAATGGTGGGCCTTGGGTGAAATTCAGTGTTGTGCTGGCTTCAGTTTTGAACCAGTGCAATCCCTGTGGTGGTGGCCACAGTGACGCTTGTGTTACCCCCACTACACATCCAGGTGGCTCATCTCAGAGAGAGAGACTCCATTTGTTTGGAAGAAATTAAGGGAAGAAAAAAAGAGACTATGCTTGGTAATCCAGTTAATTCTTCTAGATATTATCCAAGACCACCAAGGTGGTACCTCAACAAGCAAGAACCACAGTGTTGTTGAGTTTATGCCTCAAATCTCTCCAAATACCTGAAAAACCTTCCCAAGAAGGATGGGCATGAACAAGACCAGGATGTGAAGACTACGATAAATACCTAACTCTGCAATGCCCAGACATAGATGGACATCTTCAAGCATTTAGATCATCTAGGTAGATAAGACCTCAGCAGACAAAGTAAGGCACCAAGGACAAGTACTGGAAGAACAGAGATATGTGACCTTTCAGATAGTAAACTCAAAATAGCTGTTTTGATGAAATTCAAAGAAATTCAAGATAATAGAGAAGGAATTCAGAATTTTATGAGATAAATTTAACAAGGAGATTGAAATAATTAAAAGAATCAAGAAAAAATTCTGGAGTTGAAAAATGCCATTGACATACTCTAGAATGCATCAGTCTCTTAATAGCAGAATTGATCAAGCAGAAGAATTAATGAGCTTGAAAATAGGCTATTTGAAAACACACAGTAAGAGGAGACAAAAAAAGGAATAACAAACAGTGAAATACACCTACAAGACCTAGAGAATAGTCTCAAAAGGGCAAATTTAAGAATTATTTTCCTTAAAGAGAAGGAAGATAAATAGGGGTAGAAAGTTTATTAAAAGGGATACTAGCAGAGAACTTTAGAAACCTAGAGAAAGGTATTAATATCTAAGCACAAGAACATTATAAACCATAAGCAGATTTAACTCAAAGGAAACTACCTTAAGGCATTTAATAATCAAAGTCACAAAGGTCAAGGATAAAGAAAGAATCCTAAAAGCAGCAAGAGAAAAGAAACAAATAATATACAATGGAGCTCCAATACACCTGGCAGCAGACTTTTCAGTAGAAACCTTTCAAGCCAGGAGAGAGTTGCATGACATATTTAAAGTGCTAAAGAAATAAAAAAAATTTTACACTAAAATTATGTATGCAGTGAAAGTATCCTTTAAGTATGAAGGAGAAATAAAGACCTTCCCAGACAAACAAAATCTGAGGAATTTCATTAAGACTAGATCTCTCTTACAAGAAATGCTAACGGGAGTTATTGAATCAGAAGATAAAGGATGTTAATGAGCAACAATAATTCATCTGAAGGTACAAAACTCACTACTAACAGCACACAGAAAAACACAGAGTATTATAACACTGTTATGGTAGTGTGTACTCTTAAATTAAAAGACCGAATGATAAACCAATCAAAAATAATACGTGCAACATGTTTTCTAGACATAGTACAATAAGACATAAAGAGAAACAAAGTAAAAAAGTAGGGAGATAAGGTTAAGATATAGAGTTTTTGTTAGTTTTATCTTTGCTTATTTATTTTGCATGCAATCAGTGTTAAGTTCTTGTCAATTTAAAACAATGTGTTACAAGATAGTACTTATAAGCCTCACGGTAACCTTAAATCAGAAAACATACAACAAATTCAAAAATAAAATAAAAAGCAAAACATTGAATAATACCACCAGAGAAAATCACCTTCACTAAAAGGAAGACAGAAAGAATGGAAAAAAGGAAAGGAAGACTATAAAACAACCAGAAAACAAATAACAAGACAGTGGGAGTAAGTGCTTACTTACCAATAACACTGAATGTAAATGGACTAAACCCTCCAATCAAGACACAGAGTGGCTGAATGGACAAAAAAGCAAGACCCAATGATCTATTGCCTACAAGAAACACACTTCACCTATAATCACACATATAGGTTGAAAATAAAGTGATGGAAAAAGATATCCCATGCCAACTGAAATCAAAAAAGAGTAAGAGTGTCTACCTATCTGTGTATCTATGTATCTATCTATCTATCTATCTATCATCTATATATATTTTTTTGTGACAGGGTCTTGCTCTGTCACTCAGGCTGGAGTGCAATGGCACAAACATGGCTCACTGCAGCCTCGACTTCCTATGCTCAAAAGATTCTCCTACCTCAGCCTCTTGTGTAGCTGGGACTACAGGTGTTCACTACCACACCCAGAGAAGTAGCTTTATATATATCAGACAAAATAGATTTACAGACAAAAACTATATAAAGTATCAAAGAGAGTAATTATGTAACAATAAAGGGGTAAATTTAGCAAGAGGACATAAAAATTATAAATATATATGGACCAACATTGGAGCACCCAGATATATAAAGCAAATATTCTTAGAGCTAAAGAAAGCTAGATCTGAATACAATAATAGCTGCAGTCTTCACCAACTGACTTTCAGCATTGGACAGTACTTTCAGGCAAAAAATGAACTAAGAAACAGCAGTCTTAATCTGCACTATAGATCAAATGGATCTAAATAGATATTTACAGAACATTTTATACAACAACAGCAAAATACACATTCTTCTCAGCACATGGATCATTCTAAGCCTAGACCATATGTGAGGTAAACAAGTCTTTAAAAATTCAAAACAATTGACATAATATTAAGCATCTTCTCTGACCACAATGGAATAAAACTGCAAATCAAAAAAGAGAAATTTTGGAAACTCTACAAACACACAGATATTAAACAATATGCTCCTGAATGATCAGTGGGTTGATTAAGAAATTAAGAAGAAAATTAAAAAATTTCTTGAAACAAATAGTAATGGAAACACAACATACCAAACCTACAGGATATAGCAAATGCAATACTAGGAGAAAAATTTATAGCTATAAGTGCCTACATCAAAAAAGAAAAAAAAACTTTCCAATATATAACCTAATGATGCATCTTAAAGAAACTGGAAAAGCAAGAGAAAACTAAACCCAAAATTAGTAGAAGGAAAGAAATAATAAAGATCAGAACAGAAATAAATGAATTTAAAATGAAGAAAACAATGCAAAAGATCAATAAAACAAAAAGCTGGGTTTCTTAAAAGTTAAACAAAATAGACAAAACTTTAGCCAGACTAACTGAGAAAAAAGAGAAGATCAAAATGAATAAAATCAGAGATGAAAAAGACATTATAGCTGATACTGTAGAAATTCAAAGGATCATTACTGGCTACTATCAGCAACTGTACGCAAAAAAAATTTGGCAATTCTAGAGGAGATGTATAAATTTCTAGACACCTACAACCTACCAACACTGAACCAGGCTGAAATCCAAAATCTGAACAGGCCAATAACAAGTAATGAAATTTAAGCCATAATAAAAAGTCTCCTAGTAAAAAAAAAAAAAAAGCCTGGAATCTGATGCTTTCACTGCTGAATTCTACCAAACATTTAAAGAAAAGCTAATACCAATATTACCCAAACTATTCCAAAAATAGAGAAGAGGATATTTTCAAACTCATCTTATTAGACCAGTATTACCCTGACACCCAAAGTAGACAAAGGCACATCAAAAAAAAGAAAACTACAGGCGAATATCTCTGATGAATATTGAGCAAAAATGCTCAACAAAATACTAACAAACTGAACACAACAATACACTAAAAAGATTGTTAATCTTGACAAAGTGGGATTTATCCCAGGGATGCAAAGATAGGTAAACATATGCAAATCAATTAATGTGATACATCATATCAACAGAATGAAGGCCAAAGCCATATTATCATTTAAATTGATGCCAAAGAAGCATTTGATAAAATTTAACACACTTTCATGATAAGAACTCCAAAAACCTTGATATACAAGGAACATATGTCAACATAAGAAAAGCCATATATGTCGGATCCTCAGCTAGTATCACAATGAATGACGAAAAACTAAAAGCCTGTCCTCTAAGATATGGAACAAGGCAAGAATGCCCACTTTTGCACTGTTGTTCAACATAGTTCTGGAAGTTCTAGCTGGAGCAATCAGACAAGAGAAGGAAAAAATGTTTATCCAAATTGGAAAGGAAGAAGTCAGATTATCCTTGTTTGCAGATTGCACGATCTTATATTTGAAAATATGAAGACTTCAACAAAAACTATTAGAATAAACAAATTTAGTAAATTTGCAGATACAAAATCAACATAAAATATCATTAGCATTTCTATACGCCAGCAGTGAACAATCTAAAACAGAAACAAAGTAATCCCATTTACAATAGCCACAAATAAAATTAAATACATAAAAATTAACCAATGACATGAAAGAACTCTACAAAAAAACCCTGCAAAACACTGATGAAAGAATTTAAAGAGAACACAAAAAATGAAAAGATATTTTATGCTCATGGACTGGAAGAATCAATATTGTTAAAATGTCAAGACAACCAAAAGCAATCTACAGTGCCTTTGCAACCCCTATCAATATACCAATTACATCTTCACAGAAATAGACAAAACAATTTTAAAATTTATATTAGATGACAAAAGAAACACAGTACCCAAAGCTATCCTGACCAAAAGATCAAAACTGGAGAAATCAGATTACCTGACTTCAAATTATACTACTGAGTTAGAGTAACCAAAAACAGCATGGTACTTGCATAAAAAGAGGCACATAGATAAATGGGACAAAACAGAGATCCCAGAAACAAATCCATACACCTACAGTGGATTCCATCTTTGACAAACGTGCTAGGAATACCAATTTGAGAAAGGATAGTCTCTTTAATAAATGGTACTGGGAAAACTAGATATCCCTACGCAGAAGAATAAAACTTGACATATATCTTTTGCCATATACAAAAATAAGATAAAATTTGATTATAAATTTAAGCCCAAGACCTCAGACTTTGAAACTACTACAGAAAAACTTTGGGAAACTCTCCAGGACATTGATTTGGGCTAAAATTTCTTGAGTAATACCCAACAACCATGACAGGCAAACAAAGCAAAAATGGAAAAATGGGATCACATGAAGTTAAAAAGCTTCTGCACAGCAAAAAAAGCAATCAACAAAATGAAGAGACCACTCACAAAATAGGAAAAACTATTTTCAAACTACCCATCTGACAAGGGATTAATAATCAGAATATAAAAGGAGCTCAAACATTTCAATTGGAAAAAAAAATCTAATAATATTAAAAAATGGGCCAAATATTTTAATGGAAATTTCTCAACAGAGGACACACAAATTGCAAATTGATCCATAAAAAGGTGCTCAACATCACTGATCATCAGAGAAATGCAAATAAAAACTACAATGCTACATTATCTCACTCCATTTAAAATGACTTTTAGACAAAAGATAGGCAATAACAAATGCTGGATGAGGATGTGGAGAAAGGGAATCCTTGTACACTGCTGCTGGGAATGTAAACTAGTACAACCACTATGAAGAACAATTTGTATGTTTCTCAAAAAACTAAAAAGAGAGCTGACATATAATCCAGAAATCCCACTGCTGGGTATATACTTCACCCCTCAAATAGAAGAAAATCAGTATATAAAAAAGATATCTGCATTCTCACATTTGTTGCAGCACTGTTTACAATAGTAAAAAATTGGAAGCAACCTAAGTGCCCATCAACAGATGAATGGATAATGAAAATGTGGTACATCAAAAAGCTAATCCACCGCAATCCAGTAGCCTTTATCCCTGGATGCAAGTTTGGTTCAACAAACACAAATCAACAAATGAGATCAGATAAAGAGAACTACAAACAAAAAACACATGATTATTTCAGTAGATGCAGAAAAAACTTTTGATAAAATTCAACATCTTTTCATGTTAAAAACTTGCAATAAACTAGGTATTGAAGAAACATTCCTCAAAATAATAAAAGCCATGTATGACAAACCACAGCCAATATAATATTGAATTTTCAAAAGTTTGAAGCATTCCCCTTGAAAACTAGCACAAGACAATGATGCCCTCTCTCACCACTCCTATTCAGCATAGTATTGGAAGTCGTGGCCAGAACAATTAGGCAAAAGAAAGAAATAAAGAGCATTCAAATAGGAATACGGGAAGTCAAACTATCCCTATTTGCAGACAACATGATTCTTTATGTAGAAAACCACAGTCTCAGCCTCAAACCTCCTTCAGCTGATAAACAAGTTCAGCAAAATCTCAGGATACAAGATCAATGTATGAAAATCACTAGCATTTCTTTACACCAGCAACAGCCAAGCCAAGAGCAAACCAGGAACACAATTTCACTCACAGTTGCCACAAAAAGAATAAAATACCTAGGAATACAACTAACCAGGGCAGTGAAATATTTCTACAACAAGAATTACAGAACACTGCTCGATGAAATCAGAGATGACACAAATAAATGGAAAAACATTCCATATTCCAATATTGTTAAAATAGCCTTACAAACCAAAGCAATTTCTAGATCCAATGCTTTTCCTATTAAACTATTTTACCAATGACATTCTTTACAGAACTAGAAATAAGTATTTAAAAATTCATATAAAATGAATAGCCATGGAAGTCCTAATCAAAAAGAACAAAGCTGGAGGCATCATGAAACTCAACTTCCAACTACTACAGGGCTACAGTAACTGAAACTGCATGGTACTGATACCAAAACAGACACATTGATCAATGAAACAGAATAGAGAGCCCAGAAATAAGGCTGCACACCTACAACTAACTGATCTTTGACAAAGCTTACAAAAACAAGCAATGGGGAAAGGGTACCCTATTTAATAAATGATGCTGGAATAACTGGCTAGCAATACGCAGAAGATTGAAACTGGACCCCTTCCTTACACTATGTACAGAAATTAACTCAAGATGGATTAAAGACTTAAATGTAAAACCGCAAACTATAAAAACCATGAAAGACAAATTAGACATTTTGGACATAGGAATGAGCAAAGATTTAATGATGAAGATGCCAAAAACAATTGCAACAAAAGCAAAAATTGACAAATGAGATCTATTTAAACTATAGAGCTTCTGCCCAGGCATAAAAACTGTTAGCACAGTACACAGACAACCTACAGAACGGGAGAAATTTTTTGCAAACTATGCATCTGATAAAGGTCTAATATCCAGCATCTATAAGAAACTTAACCAAATATACAAGAAAAAGAAAACCCATTAAAAAGTGGACAAAGGACATGAGCAGACACTTCTCAAAAGAAAACATACAAGTGGCCAATAAGCATATGAAAAAAAAGCTCAACATCACTGATCATTAGAGAAATGCAAATCAAAACCATAATAAGATACTATCTCACACAAGTCAGAATGGCTGTTATTTAAAAGTTAAAAAATAACAGATGCTGGCAAGGTTGTGGAGAAAAAAGATTGCTTATATATTATTGGTAGGAATGTAAATTAGTTAAACCCTTGTGGAAAACGGTGTGGATAATCTTCAAAGACCTAAAAACAGAATTACCATTTGACCCAGCAATCCCATTACTGGATATATATCCAGAGGAATATAAATCATTCTACTAATAAAGAGACATACACGGGAGTGTCCATAGCAGCACTATTCACAGCAGCAAAGAGATAAAATCAACCTAAAAAATGCCCATAAGTGGCAGAGTGAATCAAAAAAATGTGGTGTATGTACACCATGGAACACTATGCAGCCATAAAAAATGAGATCATGTCTTTTGCAGGAACATGGATGGAGCTGGAAGCCATTATCCTCAGCAAACTAATGCAGGAAGAGAAAACCAAATACCACGTTCTCACTTATAACTAGGAGGTAAATGATGAGAACTCATGGATACAAAGTGTAGAACAACAGACACTGGGGCCTACTTGAGGGTGGCAGATTTGAGGGAGAAAAGTATCTGAAAAAATAACTATCGGGCACTAGGATTAGTACCTGGGTGATGAAATAATCTGTACAGCAAGCCCCCATGACACAAGTCTACCTATATAACAAATCTGCACATATACCACTGAACCTAACATAAAAGTTTTTTTAAAAAGCAAATGTGGTACATATACACAATGGATTACTATTCAGCAATAAAAAGGAATGACATCTTTTCATTTGCAACAACATGAATGGAACTGGAGGTCTTTCTGTTAATTAAAATAAGTCAGGCATGGAAAGACTAACTTCATATGTTGTCACTTATTTGTGGGTGCTAAAAATCAAAACAATTGAACTCATAGAGATCAAGAGTAGGATGGTTACCAGAGGCTGGAAGGTAATGAGGGTTTGAGGGGAAGTGGAGGTAGTTAATGGGCACACAAACAAAAAAATAGTTAAAGAGTGAATAAGACCTAGTATTTGATAGCACAGCAGGGTGACTAAATAATAATCATTTAATTGTACATTTTATAATAACTATAATGTTATAATTGGATTTTTAGTAACACAAAGGATAAATCCTTGAGGGGATGTATACCCCATTTTCCATGATGTGATTATTACATATTACATGCCTGCATCAAAGCACCTCATGTACCCCATAAATACATACACCAACTATGTACCCACAAAAATAATGAAACAAAAATAAATAAATAAAAAACAAAAGGGAACTTTTTTTTGAGCATTAAGACTTATTTATCCTTTAATACACAATATTAACTAAAATGCATGTATAGAACAATAGTTAGATCATCTGAACTAATCTCAGGAGCACAGAACCCTTCTCCCTGCATACTTCCTCCCTGCCGTCCCCACAACCACCCAATGAATAGTCTGCATTCACTTACGCAACCACTGCTAGGAAGTACTGAAAACAAATGCTTAGAGGGGTGTTACTTTAGCCCTCTACTTTTAAGCTATGTTGTACACCTTTTTGCTGTTGTTGTTGAAACGGAGTCTCATTCTGTCGCCAGGCTGGAGTGCAGTGGTGCGATCTCGGCTCACTGCAACCTCCACCTCCCGAGTTCAAGCGATTCTCCTGCCTCAGCCTCCCAAGTAGCTGGGACTACAGGTGGGTGCCACCACGACCAGCTAATTTTTGTATTTTTAGTAGAGACGGGGTTTCACCATGTTGGCCAGGATGGTCTCCATCTCTTGACCTCGTGATCTGCCCGCCTTGGCCTCCCAAAGTGTTGGGATAACTGGCGTGAGCCACTGCACCAGGCTGTTGTGCACTTTTAAACACCTAGAAAGACTAGACGTTTCAAACTGGACTTAAGTTTTCCATTATATACACAGTAGCATTGAATAAATGGTATACATACATAACACAGACAGTAATTTGAGTGTCTTCTAAATAGGAACATTCTGGCCTAGAACCCTTCCTTTTCCCACCTCTACCAACCCCGTGGACAGCTATAAGCCATCTGTAATGCTTAGGGTGGATTTTAACAATTTCACTTCTGTTTTTAAGAAGTCTTCCCTATGAATTTTAACACAAAGTGTACTCAATGCATTAGTTTCCTAATTCTACTTTTGTCATACACTGGCAACCTCTTTAACATCGACTACATGTAAATTAGGACTCCTATGTCCGCTTATATACACTATATACACAGCACAGTAAATGAAAATGCAGACATAAGGGACAATGGTCAATGTGCCTCATCATAAACACAGTGGACACTGGTAGAAAGCCCTTTGCACTTTGTGCTCCTCCTTCCCCCTGAACCAGCACAAATATCATAATCTGTACTGCTCAGAGAATTGATCAATTTCCAAGACAATATTTCATATCAAAAGGATAGCTACAAAATGTGTTATTTACTATCTCTACTTTTAACATACTTTGTGCACTTCTAAACATCTAGAAAGACCAGTTGTTTCAAATAAGGACTTAAGTTTGTCCGCTGTATACACAGTAGTGTTGAATAATCTACACACGTAACAATAGTTATATCTGAAAGTGTCTTCTAAATAGGAACATTCTGGTATAGAATGCTTCATTCCTTCCAACTCCTCTCCACCACCAACCTGGTGGATATAGGCACGTGTCACTTAGAGCTGATGTTATCATTTCACTTCCGAAAGTCCTTTTCAGAAGACAGCCTTTCTATGAATTTTAACGAAGTGTACAAAATGTGTTAGTTTACTAACCCTACTTCTGTCATACATTGGCAACCTCTTTAATATCTAGAGACTAGATATTATAAAATCGGACTCATTTGTCCAGTATATACACAATATATAGAGTGTAGCAAAGTTAAATGAAATGCACGTAACATATAGGCAATGGATTAAGCGGAAATTTTCTAATAAACAATGGCAAAACACCTTTTGCAACTTCTTCCCTCCCACCTCCCAGGTGGTTCAACAATTCCACTTCCAAACAGCATTTCCCATCAGTTTTTAAAAGCTATTTACAAAAAGTGTTATTCTACTACTTTTAAATACATCAAGCACTTCCAAATATCTAGAAAGACTAGATATTTCATACTTGTCCACCACGTACACAGCACTGTTAAAATTACACACACATAACAATGGTTATCATCTGAGGTATCTTCTAAATGTGACCACTTTGGCCTTGAATCATTCCCTCCCCTCTTCCTTCTCTGCCTTCAATCCAGTGGACAAGTACAGGCACGTGTAATGCTTAGAGATGGTTGAGTAAATTCCTATGCAAAAGTCATTTACAGAAGACAAGTTTTCCTATGAATTTCAACACAAAGCATACAAAATATGCTAATTTTACTACTTTGTCATACACTGGCAACCTCTTTAATATCTAGAAACTAGATGTTGAAAAATTAGGACTATTTGTCCATTATATACACTATATACAGAGCAAAACAAAATGCACAAAACATACAGAAAAATGGTGTCTGGAAATGTTCAAGTATGAACACACTAGTATATTACCTTTTGCAATTTCTTTCCTCCCACCTCCTCTAAACCACTGAACAAGTATAGACATTACTATACTGCTCACAAAGGTGGCTTCAAAATTCAATTTCCAAAAGTATTTCCTATGAATTTTAGCAAAAAGATATTTACAAAGTGGTATTTTACTACCTCTACATTTAACATACATCAGGCACTTCTAAACATCTAGATAGACTAGATGTTTCAAGTAAGGAGTTAATTTGTCCACTATGTACACAGCAGTCTTGAATAAACTGCAAACATGTAACAACAGTTATAATTTGAAAGAGTCTTCCAAATGTGAACATTCTGGCCTAGAACCCTTCCCATCTCCATCAACCTAGTGGGTAAGAATGCTCAAATTTTCAGAAGACAATCTTTCCTAGGACTTCTAAAACAAAATGTACAAAATATATTAGTTTTCCTAGGACTTGTAAAACAAAATGTACAAAATATATTACTCTACTTTTGTCATACACTGGCAACCTCTTTAACATCCAGAAAGACTAGATGTTGTCAATTAGGAATCGTTTGTCCTTTACGTACACTATATACACAGATAAGTAAAACAAAATGCACAGAGATAATGATTCATCTTGTAAAAAGGATGGCATAGAGCTCTCTGCACCTCCCCCTCCTCTCTCCTCCCCTGAACCACTGCACAAACACAATGAGTATTACTCCACAGGTGATTTGGCCATTCCCCTCAAAAAAATTTCCTATGAATTGTAACAAAAAGATACTTACAAAATGTGATTTTGCTACCTCTAATTTTAACATATCAGTACTTCAGAACATCTAAAAAGAACAGACATTTCAAAAAAGCTTAGCATTGTCAACTATGTACACAGTAGTGAGGAATAAAATGCACACAAAACAATGGATAGAATACGAAAATGTCTTCTAAATATGACCAGTCTAGGAAAGAACCTTCTTCTCTTCCTTCTCAGGTCTTCTAGCTCCTTGTCATCTAACCCACCGAACAAACGTGGACGTATAGCTTCCAGAGCCCGTCTAACAACTCCATTTCCAAAAGTCATCTCCAGAAGACATGTATTTTCTATTATTTATTTTAAACAAATGAGAATTTACAAGACGTGTGACTTTCTAACTCTACTTTATCATACGTCGGCAACCTCTTTCCATCTAGAAGGGCTAGATGTGACAAATGTTTTCTATTAAAAGGTTGGGGTGGAGTTGAGAGCAGTTTTTTCATATTATATACACAGGCCTTCCATAAACGGCCAGTAAATCTTCCCAGAGGGTGGTGGGCATTTCCAACGGGCCAAACGTGGCCTGTCATTCTATCATTTCTCTCTTTCGACAGCAAGGTCTGGTAGAACGAAGACCAACCGCCCGATGGCCGCTAACAGTTCCACCCGTCGCCGTCTGGGACTTCGCTCACCTACCAGGCCGGTTAAGCCCTTTGTCCGTTGTCTTCAGGACTAGGTAGGTCTCGCCCAATGGCGACAGAGTGGTCACCTGGGACCCGGATCTGCGCGGCTCCGTGGCCTAAAGAGGCGGCCTAGCCTGCCTGCGTCCCTGGGCCGCTTTCCCGGGCCCTCCACGCCCTAACAGCCTCCGCCGCGCGGCGTTCGAGCGGCCGCCATGCTTCCCGGCCCTCCACTCCTGCAGCCGCCCAAAGGCGCTGCGTCCCGACAGCTCTGCGGAGGTTTAGCGGAGGCCCGGTAGGCTTGGGCCGGGGGGGTTCGGGCTGGGAGAGGCCGCCCCCGCCATCAGTCACCGAGGTGGGAGGGGGGGAAGAGAGGTTCGCTGTGGCTTCAAGGCCTGGGCACAGCCAGTGGGCAGCCACAGCAGAGGCCTCCATCCGGTATCTGCAGGGCAGAGGGCTCAGACTGTCCCGGGGCCCCCCAGTTCACCCGCCGGCCAGGGGCCGGAGGGCCTGGAGGCCCCTGGAGTAGCAGGCCGCATTCTTCGTCTCTCCGCGCTCTCTGCCGGACCTGAACTCACAAAAGTGAACTTTTTATAAATAGAAGTAAAAGCCAAAAATAAAATGGTGACCTTATTTTACACACAGACACACACACAACCACAAAAGGCAGACAGCTGCAGAATGTTTAGCTCTAAATGGGTGATGTAAAGAGTTTTGTTGGCCAATGCTATAATGATTATAAATCTCGACCCTAAAATCATTCAGGCTTTGAGTGAAATTTATTAGATCTAGCCATTACAAAATTTAGCCAGATTTAAAATTTTACAGTATAAGGCATGACTATTTATGAGGCGATTATCATACTTTAGATAGAAATTAGTAAATTTTCAAATATCTTTCTGTGTAAATTAACTCAATTAAAAAAAGATACAATAATATCCCTTCTTGTTTTTTTATATTTTTACTTGATTTGGCTTAGCAGGAAATGTTTTCCAAAGATTTTGGTAGGGTGAGTGCAGTTCAATCAGGTTTTGGAATTGTTGCACAAAGATATGGTAGAACAGGTCAATGCCTTACAATTATAGACATTTTGATTCTGACTTTAAATTATGAGATTTAATCTAGAATTTATATTAATGTTTAAGGCAACATACACAGCATTGTGGTGATCAGTGTGTATGTATGGCAACTGTTACACATTGTTACTTTGGAAGTGTGGTTATTTTTAAAAAGCTGTATGTTCAAATAAGCATAAGTTTCTTGTCTATCTTATCACCCCAAGAAACATGGTATTCAGTAAAATCAATCAGATTTGGCTGGTTGTTTTATTTGGTTTTAGTCATTAACATTTTTCACCCACAATTCATATAACCACTTAAAATTGTGTGCTATTAGCATATAATAAAAATAATATCTGTGCCTCCTGGGCTCAAAAGTTAGCAGCAGGATGTCCTGACTCAATAGCAGGCTTTTCTGCATTAAAGTTCCATTCTTTTTCTTAAGTGGATAAAACCAGGTTCAGAAAGCTGGAGCTGGTCTTTAGAACAATATACAGTTTGTCATGAGATCATGAGAATGTGTGCTATAAGCCAAAGTAGCTTATATCCCATGAGGATATGTAAAATCAATCATTAAAGAAATGGCTTCTTTTGGTATCTTCAGAAATTAAAAAAAAAAAAGGATAGTTAAAAATCCCTCCCCAAGATCCATGGTGTGCCTGGCCTTAATTAGGGTATCTGAGAAATAAACTGACCTGATTAACACAACACTACACCATTCTAATTGCCATAGTATTACCAGACAAGTGTCTTTTATAAAAAAAGCATGCCTCAGTTTCATCACATTTAACATTTTTTAGTGTACTGTAACAAACATCCCATTTGCAAACCTTGCTAGGAGATTTTAGACACTCAGGTTTCAAAGACAATGGTGTAGTGACAAGAATATGGGAAAAAGGTTCAATACTGGATTAATGAAAGTGAGAACAATATGTTATTCATGTTTATATCCATGGCTTCTGTAACAAGGCTGGCATGTGGCAGGTATCAAATAAAAATATGTCAGTGACTTTCAATAAGTACCACCCTCTTTCTGTGCTTCAGTTTCCTCCTCTGGAAAATGAAAGAAATGGATGAGCTAAGCTTTAACTCTAACAATACATTCTAAGCAGATGTTCTTTAAACTGTTCAAAAATTTTATTTTACCCGATCAGAGCTATTAGCAGATTATCAGGATCTGCAACATACTACTAAGCAATGGAACAAATTTTCCTCAGGAAGAAACATAATCTAGAATGAGAGACTCAGAGACATTTTGGACAAAATTACTCTAAGAACTTAAAAAAGTCTAAAATGGTGCTCAGATAATAAAAGTTTTGCTATGGACAGAATGAGAGCCCTCACTAGAACCTGACCATGATGGCACGCTGATCTTGGGTTTCATGAGCTTCAAAACTATGACAAGTAAATGCTTGCTGCTTAAGCCACCCAATTTATAGTATTTTTTTTAATTTCAATACTTTTTAGAAAACGGGGTTTTTTATTACATGGACAAGTTCTTTCGTGGTAATTTCTGAGATTTTGGTGAATCTGTCAGCCAAGCAGTGTATACTGTACCCAATGTGTAATCTTTTATCCCTCACCACCTTCCCCATTCCCCCAGAGTCCCCGAAGTCCACTATTTCATTCTCTATCATATGTCTTTTCATCCTTATCGCTTAGTTCCCACTTATAAGTGAGAACATACGAAATTTGTTTTCTGCTTCTGAGTTGCTTTACTTAATGGTCTTCAACTCATCCAGGTTGCTTTGAATGCCTTTAGTTCATTTCTTCTAATGGCTGAGTAGTATTCCATGGTGCCACATTTTCTTTATCCACTCGTTGGTTGATGGGCATATACGTTCCATATTTTTTCAATTGTGAATTGTGCCACTGTAAGCATGTGTGTGCAAGTGTCTTTTTCATATAATGACTTCTTTTTCTCTGGGTAGATACTCAGTAGTGGAATTGCTGGATCAAATGGTAGTTCTACTTTTAGTTCTTTAAGGAAACTCTGTACCATATTCCATAGTGGTTGTACTAGTTTACATTCCCATTGGCAGTGTAAAAGTGTTCTCTTTACATTCACATCAACATCTATTTTTTTTATTATTTTATTATGGCCATTCTTGCAGGAGTAAGGTGGTATCACATTGTGGTTTTGATTTACATTTCCCTGATAATTAGTGATGTTAATAATTTTGTCATGTTTCCTGATCATGTGTAGTATATGTTCTTTTGAGAATTGTCTATCCGTGTCCTTTCTCCACTTTTTGATGGGGCTGGGTTTTTTTCTTACTGATTTGTTTGAGTTCCTTGTAGATTCTGGATATTAGTCCTTTGTCTGATGCACAGTTTGTGAAGATATGCTTGCATTCTCTGTGTTGTGAGTTTACTCTGCTAATTATTTCTTTTGCTGTGCAGAAACTTTGTAGTTAAATTGGGCACCATGTATTTATTTTTGTTTTTGTTGCATTTTCTTTTGGGTTTTTGGTCATGAAGTCTTTACATAAGCCAACATCTAGGAGAACTTTACCAATGTTTCCTTGTAGAATTTTTCATGGTTTCAGGTCTTAGATTTAAGTCCCTGATCCATCTTGAGTTGATTTTTGTATAAAATGAGAGATGTGGTTTCAGTTTTATTCTTCTACATGTGGCTTGCCAATTATTCCAGCACCATTTGTTGAATAGGGTTTCCTTTCCTCACTTTATGTTTTTGATGCTATGTCAAAGATCGGTTGGCTGTAATTATCTGGGTTTATTTCTGGGTTCTCTATTCTTTTCCATTGGTCTACATGCCTATTTTTATATCAGTACCATGCTGTTTTGGTAACTGTAGATTGTAGGATAGTTTGAAGTCAGGTAATGTGATGCCTCCAGATTGGTTCCTTTTGTTTAGTTGTGCTTTGGCTATGCAGAATCTTTTCTGGTTCCACATAAATTTTAGGATTTTTTTCTAGTTCTGTGAAGAATGATGATGGTACTTTGTTGGGAATTGCATTGAATCTGTAGATTGCTTTTGGCAGTATGGTCACTTTTATAATACTGAATCTACCCATCCATGAGCATGGGATGTGTTTTTATTTGTATGTGTCATCTATGATTTCTTTCAGCAGTGTTTTGTAGATTTTCTTGTAGAGATCTTTCTCCTCCTTGGTTAGGTATATTTCTATGTATTTTATCATTTTTGCAGCTGTTGTGAAAGGGGTTGAGTTCTTGATTTCTCAGCTTTGCCATTGTTGTTGTATAGCAGTGCTACTTATTTGTAAGCATTGATTTTGTATCTTGAAACTTTACTGAATTCATTTATCAGATCTAGAAGTCTTTTGGATGAGTCTTTAGATTTTCTTGGTATACAAACATATCATTAGTGAACAGTGACAGTTGGCTTCCTCTTTACCAATGTGGATGCTTTTTATTTTTTTCTCTTGTCTGATTGGTCTGGCTAGAACTTCCAGTACGATGTTGAATAGAAGCGGTGAAAGTGGGCATCCCTGTATTGTTCGAGCTCTCAGGGGGAATGCTTTTAACTCTTCCTCATTCAATATAATGTTGGCTGTGTGTTTGTCATGGATGGCTTTTATTACCTTGAGATATGTCTCTTCTATGCCAATTTTGCTGAGGGTTTTGATCATAAATAGAGGCTGGATTTTGTCAAATACTTTTTCTGCATCTGTTGAGATAATCATATGATTCTTATTTTTAATTCTCTTTATGTGATGTATTACACTTATTGATTTGCATATGTTAAACCACCCCTGCATTCCTGGTATGAAACCTACTTGATTATAGTATATTATCTTTTTGACATGCTGTTGGATTTGGTTAGCTAGTGTGTTGAGTATTTTTTGCATATATTCATCAGGAATATTGCTTTGTAGTTTTTTATCTTTTTTTGTATGTCCTTCCTGGTTTTGGAATTAGGGTGATACTGGCTTCCAAGATTGATTTGGGGGGGCGGATTTTCTCTTTCTCTCTCTTTTGTAATAGTTTCAGTAAAATTGATACCAATTTTTCTTTGAATGTCACAAAGAATTCAGCTGTGAATCCACCTTGTCCTGGAGTTCTTTTTGTTGACAGTTTTTAAATTACTGTTTCAATATCGCTATTTGTTATTGGTCTGTTCAGAGTTTCTATTTCTTCCTGATTTAACCTGGGAGGATTGTATATTTCCAGGAATTTATTCATATCCTCTAGATTTTCCAGTTTTTCTGTAAAAAGATGTTCACAGTAGCCTTGAGTAAGCTTTTGTATTTCTGTGGTATCGGTTGTAAGATATCGTGTTTCATTTCTAATTGAGCTTATTTGGATTTTTCTCTTTTCTTGGTTAATCTCACTAATGGTCTATCAATTTTGTTTATCTTTTCAAATAACCATTTTTTTGTTTTAGTTAACTCTTATTTTTTGTTTCAGTTTCATTTAGTTCTGCTCTGATCTTTGTTATTTCTTTTCTTCTGCTGAGATTGAGTTTGTTTGTTTCTCTAGTTATTTGTGGTGTGACCTTGGATTGTCTATTTGTGCTCTTTAAGACATTTTAATGTAGCCATATATATTAGTTAGCTCTTCTTGTTGCATCAATACCTTTACCAGTATATAGTGCCCTTCTTTGTCTTTTTTGATCTTTGTTGGTTGAAAGTCTGTTTTATCAGAGACTGGTATTGAAACTTCTGCATTTTTTTTTGCTTACCATTTCCTTGGTAAATATTTCTCCATACTTTTATTTTGAGCCTATATGTTTCTTTGCACGTGAGTTGGGTCTCCTGAATGCAGCATACTGATGAGTCCTGACTCTTTATCCAGTTTCCCAGCCTCTGTCTTTTAATAGGGGCATTTAGGCCATTTACATTTAAGGTTAATATTGTTATGTGTGAATTTGATCCTGTCATCATTTTGCTAGCTAGTTATTTTGCACACTAGTTGATGCAGTTTCTTCATTGTGTCATTGGTCTTTCTATTTTGGTGTGGTTTTGAAGTGGTTGGTACTGGTTTTTCCTTTCCATATTTAGCGCTTCTTTCAGGAGCTCTTGCAAGGCAGGTCTGATGATGAAAAAATCCCTTAGCATTTACTTGTCTGAAAAAGATTTTTTTTCTCCTTCACTTATGAAGTTGTTTGGCTGGATATGAAATTCTGGGTTGAAAATTCTTTTCTTTAATAATGTTGAGTATTGGCCCCCACTCTCTTCTGGCTTGTAGGGTTTCTGCTGACAGATCTGCTGTTAGTCTGGTGGGCTTCTCTTTGTAGATGACCTGACGTTGCTCTCTGCCTGCCCCTAACATTTTCTTCTTCATTTCATCCTTGGAGAATCTGATGATTATGTGTCTTGGGGTTCATCCTCTCATGGAGTATCTTAGTGATGTTCTCTGTATTTTCTGAATTTGAATGTTCGTCTGTCTTGTTAGGTTGGGGAAGTTCTCCTGGATAATCATCCCAGATCCATTCCAGACTGCTGTGCTAGCAGTGAGAATTTCAAGCCAGTGGTTCTTAGCTTGCTGGGCTGTTTGAGAGTGGGACCTGCTGAGCAAGACCACTTGGCTCCCTAGCTTCAGCCCCCTTTCCAGGGGAGTGAAAGTTTCTGTCTTGCTGGGGTTCCAGGTGACACTGAGGTATGAGAAACCAACAAAGAAACTCCTCCAGCTATCTCGGTGTCTTCCCAACAGCCGCCCAGTTTTGTTCTTGAAACCCAGTGCCCTGGTCGTGTAGGCACACGAGGGAATCTCCTGGTCTGAGAGTAGCAAAAACCATGGGAAAAGCATAGTATCCTGGCTGGATAGCACAGTTCCTCACGGCTTCCCTTGGCTGGGGGAGGGAGGCCCCGGGTTCCTTGCACCTCCTGGGTGAGGTGATGCCCCACCCTGCTTCTGCTCACCCTCTGTGGGCTGCACCCACTGCCTAACCAGTCCCAATGAGATGAACAGGGTACCTCAGTTGGAAATGCAGAAATCACCTGCCTTCTGCATTGGTCTCGCTGGGAGGTGCAGACTGGAGCTGTTCCTATTTGGACCTCTTGCCTGATCTCCTCCGTTTTTATTTCTAAGTAATATTCCATAGTATGAATGTACCACAGTATGTTTAATCTTTCACACATTGAAAGACATATGAAATGTTTCCATTGTTTGGCTATCATAAATAAAGCTGCCATGAACACTTTGTATAGGTTTTTGTGTAAACATGTTTTATTTCTTTGGGATGAATGCTCAGAAGTGTAATTGCTGAGTAGTATTGTAAGTGCATGTTTAATTTTATTAAAAACTGCTGAACTATTTTCCAAAGAGATACCTGTGTTCTGTTCCAGACTGAACTGATACTGTATTTTTCAGTAGTCTTTTTTTCGGTGTGTTTCATTTTGTATAGTTTCTATTGCTATGTCTTCAAGGTCACTAATATTTTCTTCTGTGATATCAAATCTGCTGTTCATTATATTTGGTGTTTTTCATTTCAAACATCTAAAAAGAAAAGTCTTTAGAAACTTGAATTGTTTTTATATCTTCCATGTTTCTTCTTCAGTTTTTGAATATTTAGAACACATTTATACTTAATAACTGCTTTAATGTCCTTGTTTATTGTTTCTAACATTTGTGTCAATTCTGGATTTATTTCAATAGATTGATTTTTCTTTTCATTTTGAATTATGTTTCTTCTTCACATAACTGATAATTTTTTATTGAATGCCAAATGTAAATTTTATCATCTGGTGCTTAAAATTTTTGCATTGTTGTAAGTGGTTTTGAGCTTTGTTGAGGGATACTGTGAAAATTTCTTGGAAAATTTTGATCCTTTTGTGTCATGCTTTTTAATATTTGTTAGGTGGGTCCAGAGCCAAGTTTAGTGTAATGATAATTATTTTCCGGTACAAAGACAAGACCTTTCTGAATTTTCTACCTCACGTCTCAAGAAAAATGAGGTTTTCCATTTGGCTGGTGGGAACAGATGCTATTACTACGTGTGTGTGTGTGTGTGTGTGTGTGTGTGTGTGTGTTGTGTGTTTGTGTGTGCCGGTTATTGTTTTCTTTAATCCTTTTTAGGTGGTTCTTTACCTGCACACAGGTAGTAGTTCTCTCCCATGCATGCAGTGATTAGTACTTTGGTGAATACATGAGAGGAACCCAGCAGCTCTCTTTAATTCTCTCTCTGTGAAGCTCTCTCTTCCTCAGTACTCTGTTCTGTAAACTTTAGTTACTTTGGATTTTTGTGCTCTCAGCTTTGTTTCTTTAGCTCAGCAAGCCCTGCTTATTGTACTGTGGCTGCGAAACTCTCTCAATGCACTAAACTCAGGCAGTGGTTGGACTCACTTTATTATTTCACCATCTCTCGGAGATTGCTGTCCTTCCTTGCCTGATGGTCAGTGAATCAGAAGCTTTTGTTTTGCTAGGTACAGTGGCTTATGCTGGCACGATTGTGTTTTGAAATGTGAAAGCATAAGGTTTGGGAGGGGACAGGGACTGAATAATATGGTATGGTTCTGTGTCCCCACGCAAATCTCATCTCAAATTTTAATCTCCATGTGTTAAGTAAGGTACTTGGTGGGGGCGGGGATTGAATCTTGGGGGCAGTTTTCCCCATGCTGTTCTCATGATAGTGGGTGAGTTCTCATGAGATCTGATGATTTTATAAGAGGCTCTTTTCCCTTCACTTTCTCTTCTCTCTCCTGACACCATGTGAGGAAGGTCCTTGCTTCCCTTTTGTCTTCTGCTGTGATTTTAAGTTTCCTGAGGCCTCCACAGCCATGTGGAACTGTGAATCAATTAAACCTCTTTCTTTTATAATTTACCCAGTCTCAGGTAGTTCTTTATAGCAGGGTGAAAATGGACTAATACACCCAGCTACTTAGGAGGCTGAAGTGAAAGAATGGCTTGAGTCCAGGAGTTTGAGACTACTCTGGGCAGCAGAATGAGAACCCATCTCTTAAAAAATACAAATGAATAATAAATAAAAATAATAACAAATCTTTGAAAAATAAAAAAGGTTTTGGTTTTATACACACACACACACACACACACACATTTTCATTGTTTTTGTCATTTCCAGTGGGATGGTAAATTTGGTCCCTATTACTCCATTTTGGCTAGCAGCCAAGCTGACCAGTATAGAAACACAATGGATTCTGAATTTGATTTCGTTCTTGTATTACTCAGGCTTCTCTAGAGAGACAGAACTAATAGAATAGATGTATATATAAAAGGAAGCTTATTAAGGAGTATTGACTCACACAATAACAAGGTAAGATCCCACAATAGGTTGTCTCCAAGCAGAGGAGCTAGGAAGGTAGTTCGAGTCCAAAAGCTGAACAAGTTGGAGTCCAATGTTCTAGGGCAGGAAGCATTCAACACGGGAGAATGATGTAGGCCAGAAGACAAAACCACCCTAGTCTTTTCATGTTCTTCAGCCTGCTTTTATTCTGGCCACACTGGCAGCTGATTAGATTGTGCCCACCCAGATTGAGGGTGGATCTGCCTTTTCCAATCCATTGATTCAAATGTTAATCTCCTTTGGCAACACCCTCACAGACACACCCAGGAACAATACTTTTGCATCCTTCAATCCAGTCAAATTGATACTCAGTACCAATTGGGCCAGATACTTTGTCTATTAGGCCAGCAGCAACAAATTCACTTACTTTGGCACAAATCTATTAAGGCAATAGTTTTTTCAATGGTGCTATTGTTATTTTTTATAGCCTAAACTCCATTATTAAGCTGCTGTGTGTCTTGCTTATTTCCACTGAGAAAATTACCACACAATGCCATCTCTTTTATTTCTCTTTGTTCCAATTCTGGTTTGAAGTCTATTTAACTTCATTTGGTGATGTGTTGTTTCAAGGTTTCATTTTAGTCATTGCTTCTGAGTAGTATAATCTCTTTGTTATTGTTAAATGCATTTTTTCTTCTAGTCATCAGAAAAAGTTTTTCTGGGTGGGTGCGGTGGCTCATGGCTGAAATCCTAGCACTTTGGGAGGACAAGGAGGGCAGACTACTTGAGGTCAGGAGTTGAAGACCAGCCTGGCCAACATGGTGAAACCCTGTCTCTATGAAAAATACAAAAATTAGCCAGGCACGTTGGCACACCCCTGTAATCTCAGCTACTCAGGAGGCTGAGGCAGGAGAATCACTTGAACCTGGGAGGTGGAGGTTGCAATGATTTGAGATTATGCCACTGCACTACAGCCTAGGCAACAGAGTGAGTCAGACTCCATCTAAAAGAAAAAAAAAAAAAGAAGAAGATGGCCGAATAGGAACAGCTCTGGTCTGCAGCTCCCAGCGAGATTGACGCGGAACGTGAGTGACTTCTCCGTTTCCAACTGAGGTACCCAGTTCATCTCATTGGGACTGGTTGGACAGTGGTTGAAGCCCAAGGAAGGCCAGCTAAAGCAAGGTGGGGCATCGCCTCACCTGGGAAGTGCAAAGGGTTAGGGAACTCCCACTCCTAGCCAAGGGAAGCCATTAGGGACTGTACCATGCACCTGGCCCAGATACTGCACTTTTCCCACGGCTTTTGTAACTGGCAGACCAGGAGATTCCCCCCGGTGTCTATACCAGCAGGGCCCTGGGTTTCAAGCATAAAACTGGGCGGCTACACCAAGCTAGCCACAGGCGTTTTTTTTTTTTTTTTTCATACCCCATTGGTGCCTGGAACGCCAGCAAGACAGAACTGTTCACTCCTCTTGAAAGGTAGCTGAAGCAAGGGAGCCAAGTGGTCTGGCTCGGCGGGTCCCACCTCCACGGAGCCCAGCAAGCTAAGATCCACTGGCTTGAAATTTTCGCCCAGCACAGCAGTCTGAACTCCACCTGGGATGCTTGAGCTTGATGGGGGGTGGGGTGTCCACCATTGCTGTTTTTTGCAGCAATATTTAAAATAGCCAAGACTTGGAGCCAACCCAAAAATCCATCAATGATAGACTGGATAAAGAAAATGTGGCACATATACACCATGGAATACTATGCAGCCATAAAAAAGAATGAGTTTATGTCCTTTGCAGGGACATGGATGAAGCTGGAAACCATCATCCTCAGCAAACTAACACAGGAACAGGAAACCAAACACCACATGCTGTTCCTCGTAAGTGGGAGTTGAACAGTGAGAACACATGGACACAGGGACAAGAACATCACATACTGGGTCCTGTCAGGGAATGGGATGCAAGAGGAGATATATCATTAGGACAAATACCTAATTCATGTGGGGCTTAAAACCTAGATGACGGGTTGATGCATGTGGCAAACCACCATGGCACGTGTATACCTATGTAACAAACCTGCACATTTATCCCATGTATCCCAGAACTTAAAGTACAATAAGAAAAACAATCAAATGTCACAGAAATATTTTCAAATTAATATACAGTAAAATTAACATTCATTTCCAGTTATACAAATTTTAGCATATTGGTTTATGTAACCACTATACTCAGATTACATAATATTTTCTTCACCCATTTAATACCTTCTTGCTGTCCTGTATAATCACTCGTGCTTCTCACTGCTAACTCCTCGCAACCCATGATCAATCTCTATCACTATTTTTCTATATTTCTGATTATGTTGTATAAATTGAATCATGCAATATGTAACCTTTGATACTTCTGTAACTCACGAAAATGATATTCATATTTATCCAAGCTGTGTGTATGAGTAGTTTATTTCTTTCTACTGCTGAAAAGTATTTTATTGTATGCATGTACCACTGTATATTCGTTCACACAAAGAAAGACATTGGATTGTTTCTATTTCTTGGAACTTATAAATAAAGTTGCTATAAATAATTGTGGATAGGTTTATATATAAATATAACATATATATATAAACATAATTATTATCTTTTAAGGTTAAATCACTAGGAGTAGGATTTCTGGTCATATGGTAAATGAATGATTAACTATTAAAGAACATGCTAAACTGTGCAAAAATAGTGAATTAAAATACTTCAAAAGTTTATTTCTGCAAGAAAGCAATAAAAAACTGACAATATATGTCAGAATCAACTGTTTTTGAACTCTAAAAAATAACTAAAAGTATACATCTACCAGAAAAGTGCTTAAGCAAGAAAAAATAACTAAATTTCAGTAAGAACAAGATTTTTGGTGTTTTAACCAAACTCTGGTCCCCTCCTCTACTCCACATTTCAGCAATAGTCTTGGAAATACCAGCTTACATTCCCAGTATAGAAGGTAGCAGAATGTATTTCAATTACAAAACATTGTAATAATTTATTTTCTCCAGTCTAATGGCTCTCTGGAAGACCAGGCCAAAATGCTTGCCTTTGTTCTTTGTAACTTGGAACTCAGTGCAAAGCAGGTACTCAGTGGGTTTTCACTTTAAATATTTACAGGAAGACATATTAATCACTGCTGACTGAGGTAATAAAAAAACTGTTGGGGCAAATGGACTAACCAAAAAGCTTGATGAGAAAGATTTGGGAATTACTTTCTATATAAATTTTAGAATAATTTTTTATAATTTTGTGAAAAATGTCATTGGTAATTTGATAGGAATAGTTTTTAATCTTTAAATTGCTTTAAGTACTATGGCCATTTTAACAATATTGTCTCTTCCTATACATGAGCATAGAATATTTCTGCAATTTGTTTGTCTTGTTTCTGATTTCTTTCAGTAGTGTTTTGTAATAATCATTGTAGAGCTCTTTTACTGCCTTAACTAGCTGTATTCCTAGGTATTTTGTTATTTTTGTGGATATTGTGAATGAAATTGTGTTATTTGTTTGGCTATCAGCATGAATGTTATTGGTGTATAAATGCTACTGAGTTTTCTACATTAATTTTGCATCCTAAAACTTTGCTGAAGTTGTTGAGTAGCCTACGGTCATGGTGTTTTCTAGGTGATCAATTACAATGTCTGTGAAGAGAGATAGTTTGGCTTCATTTCTTCCTATTTAGAAGCCTTTTAATTTCTTTCTTTTGCCTGTTTTCTCTAGCTAGGACTACCAGTACCATGTTAAATAGGAAAGGTGAGAGTGCGTAACCTTGTTCCAGGTCTCAAGGGGTATGGTTGCAGCATTTTGCCCTTTCAGTATGATGTTGACTGTCACATATGGCCCTCATTATTTTGAGGTATGTTTCTTCAATACCTAGTTTATTAAGAGTTTTTAACATTAAGGGACGTTGAGTTTTGTCAAAAACCTTTTCTGTATTTATTGAGATAATCATGGGTTTTTTGTTTGTAGATCTGTTTATCTAGTGAATCACATTTATTGATTTAAGTATGTTGAGCCAACCTCGCATCTCAGGTATGAAGCCTACTTGATCATGGTGGATTAGCTTTTTGATGTGCTGATGGATTTGATTTGCTAGTATTTTGTTGAAGAATTTTGCATCTATGTCCTAAAGTTTTCTTTTCTTATTGTGTCTCTGCCAGGTTTTGATATCAGAATGATGCTGGCCTCATAGAACGAGTTAGGGAGGAGTCCCTCCCGCTCATTTTTTGGAATAATTTCAGTAGGATTTGTATCAGCTCTTTTTTATACATCTGGTAGAATCCAGCTATAAATATGTCTGATCCAGAGCTTTTTGTGGTTAGTAGGTTTCTTATTACTAATTCAATTTTGGAACTCATTTTTGGTCTGCTCAGGTTTTCAATTTTTCCTGGTTCAATTTTGGGAAGTTGTAAGTTTCCAGGAATCTATACATTTCTTTTAGGTTTCCTAGTTTGTATGCACAGGGGTGATTGAAATAGTCTTTTAGGGTTGTTTGTATTTCTGTGGGGTCGGTGTTAACATCCATGTTGTCATTTCTGATTGTGCTTATTTGGATCTTCTCACTTTTTTATTAGTGTAGCTAGTATCTTATCAATCTCATTTATTCTTTTAAAGAACAAACTTTTGGTTTCATTTGTCTTTTATATGTTTTCTTTGTGTCTCTATTTTGTTCAGTTCAACTCTGACTTTGGTTATCTCTCTTATTCTTCTAGGTCTGTTGTCGGTTTGCTCTTGTTTTTACATTTTTATAGGTGTAATATTAGGCTGCTAATTTGAGTTCTTTCTGCTTGATGTTGGTGTTTAGTGCTATCAGCATTTTTAACATTGGTTTAGATTTGTCTCAGAGATTCTGGTATGTTCTATCTGTGTTTTCATTACTTTCAAAGAATTTCTTGATTTCTGCTTTAATTTCAGTATTTACCCAAAAGTCATGCAGCAGTAGATTTTTGAATTTCCATGTAATTACATGGTTTTGAGAGATCTTGGTGTTTGTTTCTATTTTTATTTCACTGTGCCCTGAGAGTGGTTGGTTTAATTTCTGTTTATAAAATTTGTTGAGAATTGATTTATGGCTGAGCATGTGGCCAATTTTAGAGAATGTGCCATTTGCAAATGAGAAGAATTAATATTCTGTTATTTTTGAGTGGAGTGTTCAGTAGATGTCTGATAGGTTCATTTGTTCAAGTGTTGAAGTTAGGTCCAGAATATTTTGTGTGCTATTCTGCCTCAATGATCTGTCTAATGCTGTGAGTGGGCTACTGAAGTATCCCACTATTTCTGTGTGGTTATTTAAGTATTTTTGTAAGTCTCTAAGAACTTGTTTAATAGACCTGGGTGCTCCAGTATTGGGTACATATATATTTAGGATGGTTAAGTCTACTTGTGGAATTGAACCCTTTGTTATCATGTAATGCTGTTATTTGTCTTTTTTGATACTTGTTGGTTTAAAGTCTGTTTTACCTGAAATTAGAATAGCAAACACTGCTCTTTATTTTCTGTTTGCTTGATAGGTCTTTCCCTATCCCTTTGAGCCTATGTGTGTCCTTTCATGTGAGATGGGTCTCTGGTAGACAGCATACAATTGAGTCTTGCATCTTTATCTAAGTAGTCACCTTATGCTTTTTAATTGGGGCATTTAGCCCATTTACATTCAAAGTTAAAATTGACATGTGCAGATTTGATCCTGTCATCATATTGTTAGCCTGTTGTTATGTAGACTTCATTGTATCATTGCTTTATAGTGTAAATGGTCTATGTGTTACACTGAGTTTTTGTGTTGGCCTATAATAGTCTTTTGTTTCTGTGTTTAGCACTCCTTAAGGATCTCTTTTAAGGCATGTCTGGTGGTAAGAAATTCCCTTAGCATTTTTTTGTCTGAAACAGATTGTATTTCTTTTTTGCTTCTGAAGCTTAGTTAGGCTGGATGTAAAATTTTTGGTTGAAATTTTTTTCAAGTATGTATGCCCCTACATACTTTTTATATTTTTATATTTATTATTAATATTAATCTTTGTATCTTTATATTTATAAAATATTTTAATAATATAAAATACTTACAAAATTAATTTTTATTTTTAAAAATTTTTTAATTTTACTTTAAATTCTGGAATACATGTGCAGAATGTGCAGGTTTGTTATGTAGGTATACATGTGCCATGGTGGTTTGCTACACCCGTCAACCTATCACCTAGGTTTTAAGCCCCGCATGCATTAAGTATTTGTCCTAATGCTCTCCCTCCCCTTGAGGCCCACCTCCTGACAAGCCCTGGTGTGTACTGTTTCCCTCCTTGTGTCCATGTGTTCTCATTGTTCAACTCCCACTTATGAGTGAGAACATGCAGTGTTTGGTTTTCTCTTCCTGTATTAGTTTGCTGAGAATGATGGTTTCCAGCTTCATCCATGTCTCTGCAAAGGACATGATCTCATTTTTTATGGCTGCATGGTATTCCATGATGTATGTGTGCCAAATTTTCTTTATCCATTCTGTCATTGATGGGCATTTGGGTTGGTTCCAAGTGTTTTAGTCATGAAGTCTTTTGTATATTTGCTGTTTTAGTCATGAAGTCTTTTGTATATTATTATTTTTATATTTTTAGGGATATAAGCCCCCAATCTCTTCTGGCTTGTAGGGTTTCTGCTGAAATGTCCACTGTTAGACTGATGAAGTTCCCTTTGTAGATGACTTGCCCCTTCTCTCTAAATACCTGTATAATTATTATTTATTTTTCTTTGGCCTTGGAGAATCTGATGACTGTGTGTCTTGGGGATGGATGCCTTGCACGGTATCTCACAGAGTTTCTGTAAATTTCCTGAATTTGAATATCCATCTCTCTAGCAAAATTTGAAATATTTTTATGGATGATATCCTGATATAGGTTTTAAAAGTTGCTTGCTTACTCGCCCTCATTTCCAGGGATTCCAATGAGTCATAGTTTTGGTCTCTTTACATAATTCCATTTTTTTGGGGGGGAGTTTGTTTATTTTAAGAATTATTGTTTCTTTATTTTTGTCTGACTGAGTTGAATTTTAAAAGAAATATTTGAGGTCTGAGACTTTTTTCAGCTTGCCCTATTCTGTTGTTAATACTTTTGATTGTGTTTTAGAATTCTTGTAGTGAGGTTTTTTTAAAATCTCTACCATATCAGTTTTGTTTATTTTTATAATGTATATTTAATCTTTCCGGTTTCTTATAATTTTATTGGATTTCTTAGATTCCTTGGATTATATTTCAACTTTCTTCTGAATCTGAATGATCTTTGCTGCCATCCAAATTCTGAATTCTTTGTTGGTCATTTCAGTCATTTCGTTCAGATTAAGAACCATTGCTGGGGGCTAATGTGGTTGTTTGGAGGTAAGAAGACACTCTAGCTTTTACAGTTATCATAGTTTTTGTGCTGGTTCATATCTGTGTGGTCTGATGTTCCTTTAACTGTTGTGTAATTTGGGTATAGACAATTGGTTTTTTTTCTGGATGTTTACAGAGGATGGAGGCTTTGTTCAGGGTCTTTACTTGTGGCTGAATTTTTGCCCATGGTTTCTTAGTGGAAGATATTTAAAAAGTATTTTTGGTGTGGTAGTTTGGGCTGCTATCCTATATAAGGCCATTAAGTGTAACGGTCAATAGATAGGCTCTTACTTAGCTGCATTACTCCTCTGCATTTCCTCATGTTTGCATTCATGCTCTGAGAGTGTGGGCTCCTCTCCAGATTGAGTACTGGTAGAAATCTTGCCTTGCCACTCCTGGGCTGTGCACCAGAGCCCTGGGGCAAGCTTAGACTTTTTGATTCCACCTCAGTGGGGGCAGCAGGGGTAGGCAATGGTAGAGTGCCTATCACTTATCTCTTAGAGCTCCACTTCAAAGAAATGCAGAGCCTCTACCAATTTGAACAATCGGCTAAGGATGGGAGGCTGCATTATGGGTTCAAGCTACAGGGTCCTGCCTGGTGAAGAGGAGGTGGTTGGGGCATCACAGGGAAGAGAGACTTGGCTCCTCTCTTTAAGAAAGCTGTGGCATGCTGAATGTGCAAGCAAAGTGATGAAGGTCTTTGTTCCCCAGCCTAAGGACATCAAGAGTGGGTACTGCCACACTGGCAATGGCCAAGGAGCTCTCAATTTTCTCTGTGAAACCCAACCTAGAGAGACACAGAGCTGCTGCCAGTGGGAATGTTCAGCCAGGGGTCTAACAGCTGCACTGTGGGCCCAAGCCAGGAGACCTGCCTGGAGAAGAGCAGGGCGTCAGGGGTTCACAGGGAAAAGAGACTGGATTCCTCCCCATATTGTGCCTTTGGTGTACTGGTAGGGTAAAGAAAGTGATTACAATTTTTGTTTTCTCCTCAGCCTGAGGGCACCAAGGGCAGGTACTGCTTCAGTGGCAATGACAGAGAGTCTGAGGGTTGTCTATGGAAATTCCACTCCAGAGAAATTCAGAGTTGTCACCAACTGATGTGACCAGGTGGAGGTAGTGCAGCTGCTCTGGGAGCACAGGCTGAAAGGCTCTGCCCAGCGAAGAGTAGCAGGGGCAGAAAACCATGTAGAAAACAGTCTGGTTTCTTTTCCAAATGGTAGCTTCAGCATGCTGGACACCCAAGACAGTTCTTGCGCTCTTCATTGCCTCCCCAGCTTGAGGACAGTAGAAGCAGGAGCTGCAGCAGTGGCAAAAGCTGTAGGCTTGTTGGTTAACTCTGAGAGCTCTGTCCCAGAGAAATGCAGAGCTGCCATCAGCCTGAATGCACCAGTAAAAGTAGGGTGTCTGAGGTGGGGTCCCAGGCCAGGGGGCTTTGCCTGATGATGTGCAGCAAAGGCAAGGCCAGCAGTCTATCCACTACTCAGCACCATGGATATGGCCCCTATCCTGGGGGAACAAGAGAGAGTATGGCCTCCCTTGTTGGCAGAGATATGGCAGATGGCATTGGGGTGCTCAGGGATTCAAGGCCCTTGGGGATCCATGTGGACCTGAGTGGCAGTTCTGCATAGACTCCATGCAGCTCTTTATGTCAGTCTGGAGGCCCAGGGGTGGGGGCTTAGGGGGTATCTCCTATGCTCAGGATTGCAAACGTTTATGGCAGAAATGTGGGTTCCAAGGGGCTTTCAATTATTCATCCTTTCCCCAGGGTAGAGAGCTACTCTTGTCTTTGCATCAATCCCAAGTAGGCTGCTGTCATGCCTCACTCTTCTCTGCTCTCCATGAGGCACTATTGCTTCCTTGATTAATCCTAACATGGCCTCGTGGATGATCCATTGAAAGAACTAGTGTTTACTGGCCACTCTATCATCATTTAATGAGAACAGCACAGGCCAGCTTTTTTTTATTTGTCCATCTTCACACCTCGCCCAGGGGCTTTTCTATATACCTAATAAAAAATGGAATTCGAAGTTTAAGAAATACAATACTATTTACATTAGCACTCTTAAAATAAAATACTTTGATATAAAGCTGACAAAATATGTATAGAATCAATGTGAGGAAAGCTACAAAAATCTGATGAAAAAGTCGAAGAACAAATAAACAAAAAGATATTCCATATTTATGGGTAGGAAGACTCAATACTTGCAAGATGTCAATTCTTCCCAACTTGATCTATAGATTCAATGCAATCACAATGAAAATCTCACCAAGTTATTTTGTGGATATCAACAAAAAACTCACTTCAAAATTTTATTAAACAATTGCTTGTATTAGCAGCATAATTGACCAAGCTGAGGAAATAATTTCAGAGGTTGAAGACTTGTTCTCTAAAATAACTCAGTCAGAAAAAATTAAAAAAAAATAAAGAAGAATTATTAAAAACCACCATGAAATTTGGCATTTTTTAAAAAAGACCAAATTTTTGACTAATTGGCATCCCCTAAATAGAGGAATAAGAGCCTTTTCAGACAAGTAAAATCTAAAGAAATTTGTTACCATCAGACCTTTTTTATAAGTAGTTCTTAAGAGAGTGCTAAATATGGAAAAGAAAGACTGTTACTGGCCACCACAAATACACACGCACATAGACCACTGACAGTATAAAGCAACCACACAAACAAGTGTTCAAAATGACCAACTAACAACAAGATGGTAGGATCAAACCCACACATGTAAATATTAAGCTTTAATGCAAGCCAGCTGAATGCCTCAGTTGAAAAGCACAGCATGGCAAGTTGGATAAAGTAGCAAGGCCCAACTGTATGGGTCTACAAGAGACTCATGTCAAATGCAATGACACCCATAAGCTCAAAGTAAAGAAATGAGACAAAATATACAAAGTAACTGAAAAAAATGCAGAGGTTTCTATTCTAACTTCAGACGAAATAGGTTTTAAATCAGCAGTAAGTACAAAAGACCAACATGAGTAAAGAGAGAGGGTTCAATTCAACAAGAAGACCTAATTATCCTAAATACATATGCACCTGACACAGGAGCACCCAGATTCATAAAGTAAATTATTAGAAACCTATGACAAGACTTAGATAACCACACAATAATAGCAGGAGACTTCAACATCCCAGTAAAAGTATTAGACAGATTATTGAGTCAGTAAACTAACAAAGATATTTGGGATCTGAACTCAACATTTGACCAAATGGGCCTAATAAACATTTACAGAACTATCCACCCCAAAACAACTAAATATATGTTGCTGTCATCTACACATGGCACATACTTTAAATTTGACTACTCAATAAGCATAAAACAATCCTCAGCAAATAAAAAAAATAAATTACATCAAAAACACTCTCAGATCACAGTGCAATAAAAATACAATCAATACAAAGAAAAATCACTCATAACTATACAATTCCATGAAAATTAAACTACTCACTCCTGAATGACTTCTAAATAAATACAAAACTAAAACAGAAATGAAGAAATTCTTGGAAACTAATGAAAACAAAGATACAACCTACCAGAATCTCTAGGACAAAGCTAAAGCCGTATTAAGAGGGAAGTTTATAGTGATAAAAACCCATATAGAAAAGTTAGAAACATCACAAATGAACCATCTAATATCACATCTAGAGGAACTAGAGATACAAGAGCAAACATGCACCAAAGCTAGTATAAGACAGGAAATAACTAAAATCAGGGCTGAAGTGAAAGAAACTGAGACATGAAAAACCATCTAAAATAGTAATGAATCCAAAAGTTGTTTTTTTTAAAGAATAAATAACATTATCAAATTATCTCTGTTTGAAAATGATATGATTCTGTAACTAGGAAGCCTCATTCTATAACTAAAAAACTGCCCAAAAGCTCATAGATATGATAAACAACTTCAGAAAAGGTTCAGGATACAAAATCAATTTACAACTATCAGTAGCATTTCTATAAACCAACAAAATTGAAAATGAGAACCAAATCAAGAGCACAACCACATTTACAAGAGGCACACACAAAAAATATCTACGAATACAGCTAACCAGGGAGGTGAAAGATCTCTACAATAAGTATTACAAAAACTCTGATCAAAGGAATCAGAGGTGACACAAGCAAATGGAAAAACATTCCATGCTCATGGATAGAAATAATTGATATTTTTTTAGTGGCCATGTGTCCAAAGCAACTTACAAATTCAATGCTATTCTTATCAAACTGCCAATAACATTCTTTACAGAATTAGAAAAGAAATATATTTTTAAATTATATGGAATGTAAAAAGAGCTCCAATATTCAAAGCAATCCTAAGGAAAAAGAAGAAAGCTAGAGAGATCACATTATCCAACTTCAAACAATACTACAAGGCCACAGTAACCAAAGCAGCATGGTACTAGTACTTAAACAGACAGATAATCAAATGGAACAGAATAGAGTTCCCAGAAATAAATTTGCACATCTACAACAATCTGGCCTTTGACAAAGTCAACAAAAACAAGCAAGGAGAAAAGGAATCCCTATTCAGTAAATGATGCTGGGATAACTGGGTAGCCATATGTAGAAGATGGAAACTGAACTCTTTCCTTATACCATATAAAAAGTCAACTCAAGATGGATTAAAGACTTAAAAGTAAAACCTAAAACTATAACAACCCTGGAAGGTAACCTACAAAATATCATTCTGGATATAGGCCCTAGCAAAGATTTTATGACAAAGATGCCAAAAGCAATTGCAAAGGAAGCAAAAATTGACAAATGAGACCTAATTAAACTAAAGGGCTTTTGAACAGCAAAAGAAACTGTCAACAGAGTAAATAAACAACCTGCAGAATGGGAGAAAATGCAAACTATGCATGTGAGAAAGGTCTAATACCTTGAATTTATTATTATTTTTAAGCAAATCAAGGAAAAAAACAAACTTCTTTATTAAAAAGTGGGCAAAGGACATGACCAGACACTTTTCCAAAGAATGTATACATGTAGTCAAGAAGTATATGAAAAAATATTTAACATTACTTATCATTAGAGAAGTGCAAATCAAACCACAATGTGATATCATCTCACACCAGTGTAAATAGTTACTATTAAAAAGTCAAGCAGTAACAGATGCTGGCAAGGTTGCAGGGAAAAGGAAATGCTTACATTCTGCTGGTGAGAATGGAAGTTAGTTTAACTCTTGTGGAAAGTAGTTTTTAAAATTCTCAAAAAAACTTAAAACAGAAGTGCTATTTTACCCAGTAATCCCATTATTTGGTGTATACCCAAAATAATTTAAATTGTCCTGCCAAAAATACACATGCATGGGTATATTCATGGCAGCACTATTTACAATAGCAAAGTTATGGAATCGACCTAAATGCCCACAAAAGATAGATCAGATAAGAAAATATACACCATGGAATACTACACAGCTATTAAAAATGTGATCATGTCATTTGCAGCAAAAATGGATGGAGCAGGAGACCATAAGTCTAAGCAAAATAATGCAGAAATAGAAAACTAAGTGCTGCATGTTCTCACTTACAAGTGGGAGCTAAATATTAGTACACATGGACAAAAATAAGGGAAAGGACCTACAGGACCTACTTAAAGTTGGAATGTGGGAGGAAGGTGAGAATTAAAAAACTACCAGATACTATGCTTATTACTTGGGTGACAATATAGTCTGTACACTAAACCTCTGTGATATTCTATTTACCTATGTAACAAACATGCACATGTATCCCTGAACCTAAAATAATTTTTTTTAAATGTCAAGAATGTCATTGGTATTTTAATGGGGACTGCATTGAATCTGTATATTGCTTTGGGTAGCATGGACATTTTAGCAATGTTGATTTCTCCAAATCATGAACATGGGACACCTTTCCATTTTATTTTTGTTTTCAGTTTCGTACATCAATGTTTTACACTTTTTATTGTAGAGATCTTTCACTTCTTTTATTAGGTTAACTCCTAAGTATTTTATTTTATTTGTAGCTATTGTAAATGAGATTACTTTCTTGATTTCTTTTTTTCAGATTGTTTTCTATTGGCATATAGAAATGCTACTGATTTTTGTATGGTGATTTTTTTTATCCTGTAACTGTACTGAATTTGTTTCTCAGTTCTAATAATTTGTTTTGGGGAGTCTTTTGGTTTTTCCAGATATAAGATTATATCGTCTGCAAACAAGGATAATTTGACTTCCACCTTTTGAATGTAAATGTTCTTTATTTCTCTCTTTGTCTGTTGATTTCTTGTACTATGTTGAAAAAAATAGTAAAAATGAGTGCTCATCCCTGATTTTTTTCCAGATCTTAGAGAAAATGTTTTCAAATTTTCCCCATTCATTATGATACCAGATATTGGTCTATCATATATGCATTTTATTGTATTGGAGTATGTTCCTTCTAGACCCAGTTTTTTCAGATTTTTATTATGAAGGGATGCTGAACTTTATCAAATGCTTTTTCAGCATCAATTGAAATGATCATATGGTTTTTGCCCTTCATTCTGTTTTTATGATGTAACATGTTGATTGATTTGCACATGTTGAACCATCCTTCTGGTGTCTCTGGGATAAATCTCACTTGGTCATGATAAACAAAATGATCGGGGATGGAGCCAAGATGGCCGAATAGGAACAGCTCTGGTCTACAGCTCCCAGAGTGAGCGACACAGAAGACGGGTGATTTCTGCATTTCCATCTGAGGTACCGGGTTCATCTCACTAGGAAGTGCCAGACAGTGGGCGCAGGACAGTGGGTGCAGCGCACCATGTGTGAGCCAAAGCAGGGCGAGGCATTGCCTCACTCGGGAAGCGCAAGGGGTCAGGGAGTTCCCTTTCCGAGTCAAAGAAAGAGGTGACAGATGGCACCTGGAAAATTGGGTCACTCCCACCTTAATACTGCACTTTTCCAACGGGCTTGAAAAACGGCACACCAGCAGATTATATCTTGCATCTGGCTCAGAGGGTCCCAAGCCCACGGAGTCTCGCTGATTGCTAGCACAGCAGTCTGAGATCAAACTGCAAGGTGGCAGCGAGGCTGGGGGAGGGGCGCCCGCCATTGCCCAGGCTTGCTTAGGTAAACAAAGCAGCCAGGGAAACTTGAACTCGGTGGAGCCCACCGCAGCTCAAGGAGGCCTGCCTGCCTCTGTAGGCTCCACCTCTGGGGGCAGGGCACAGACAAACAAAAAGACAGCAGTAACCTCTGCAGACTTACATGTCCCTGTCTGACAGCTTTGAAGAGAGCAGTGGTTCTCCCAGCACGCAGCTGGAGATCTGAGAACGGGCAGACTGCCTCCTCAAGTGGGTCCCTGACCCCTGATCCCTGAGCAGTCTGAGAGACACAGCCCAGTAGGGGCAGACGGACACCTCACACGGCCGGGTACTCCTCTGAGACAAAACTTCCAGAGGAACGATCAGACAGCAGCATTCGCGGTTCACGAAAGTCCGTTGTTCTGCAGCCACTGCTGCTGGTATCCAGGCAAACAGGGTCTGGAGTGGACCTCTAGCAAACTCCAACAGACCTGCAGCTGAGGGTCCTGTCTGTTAGAAGGAAAACTAACAAACAGAAAGGACATCCACACCAAAAACTCATCTGTACATCCCATCATCATAGACCAAAAGCAGATAAACCCATAAAGATGGGGAAAAAACAGAGCAGAAAAACTGGAAACTCTAAAAAGCAGAGCGCCTCTCCTCCTCCAAAGGAACGCAGTTCCTCACCAGCAACGGAACAAAGCTGGATGGAGAATGACTTTGATGAGTTGAGAGAAGAAAGCTTCAGATGATCAAACTACTCCAAGCTACAGGAGGAAATTCAAACCAAAGGCAAGGAAGTTAAAAACTTTGAAAAAAATTTAGATGAATGTATAACTAGAATAACCAATACAGAGAAGTGCTTAAAGGAGCTGATGGAGCTGAAAGCCAAGGCTCAAGAAATACGTGAAGAATGCAGAAGCCTGAGGAGCCGATGCGATCAACTGGAAGAAAGGGTATCAGTGATGGAAGATGAAATGAATGAAATGAAGCGAGAAGGGAAGTTTAGAGAAAAAAGAGTAAAAAGAAACAAACAAATCCTCCAGGAAATATGGGACTAAGTGAAAAGACCAAATCTACATCTGATTGGTGTACCTGAAAGTGACGGGGAGAATGGAACCAAGTTGGAAAACACTCTGCAGGATATTATCCAGGAGAACTTCCCCAATCTAGCAAGGCAGGCCAACATTCAGATTCAGGAAATACAGAAAATGCAACAAAGATACTCCTCGAGAAGAGCAACTCTAAGACATGTAATTGTCAGACTCACCAAAGTTGAAATGAAGGTAAAAATGTTAAGGGCAGCCAGAGAGAAAGGTCGGGTTACCCGCAAAGGGAAGCCCATCAGACTAACAGCAGATCTCTCGGGAGAAACTCTACAAGCCAGAAGAGAGTGGGGGCCAATATTCAACATTCTTAAAGAAAAGAATTTTCAACCCAGAATTTCATATCCAGCCAAACTAAGTTTCATAAGTGAAGGAGAAATAAAATACTTTACAGACAAGCAAATGCTGAGAGATTTTGTCACCATCAGGCCTGCCCTAAAAGAGCTCCTGAAGGAAGCACTAAACATGGAAATGAAAAACCGGTACCAGCCACTGCAAAATCATGCCAAATTGTAAAGACCATGGAGGCTAGGAAGAAACTGCATCAACTAATGAGCAAAATAACCAGCTAACACCATAATGACAGGATCAAATTCACACATAACAATAGTAACTTTAAATGTAAATGGACTAAATGCTCCAACTAAAAGACACAGACTGGCAAATTGGATAAAGAGTCAAGACCCATCAGTGTGTTGTATTCAGGAAACCCATCTCATGGGCAGAGACACACATAGGCTCAAAATAAAAGGATGGAGGAAGATCTACCAAGCAAATGGAAAACAAAAAAAGGCAGAGATTGCAATCCTAGTCTCTGATAAAACAGACTTTAAAACAACAGAGATCAAAAGAGACAAAGAAGGCCATTACATAATGGTAAAGGGATCAATTCAATAAGAAGAGCTAACTATCCTAAATGTATATGCACCCAATACAGGAGCACCCAGATTCATAAAGCAAGTCCTGAGTGACCTACAAAGAGACTTAGACTCCCACACAATAATAATGGGAGACTTTAACACCCCACTGTCAACATTAGGCAGATCAATGAGACAGAAAGTTAACAAGGATATCCAGGAATTGAACTCAGCTCTGCACTAAGCGGACCTAATAGACATCTACAGAACTCTCCACCCAAAATCAACAGAATATACATTTTTTTCAGCACCACACCACACCTATTCCAAAATTGACCACATAGTTGGAAGTAAAGCTCTACTCAGCAAATGTAAAAGAACAGAAATTATAACAAACTCTCTCTCAGACCACAGTGCAATGAAACTAGAACTCAGGATTAAGAAATTCACTCAAAACCACTCAACTACATGGAAACTGAACAACCTGCCCCGAATGAATACTCGGTACATAACGAATTGAAGGCAGAAATAAAGATGTTCTTTGAAACCAAGGAGAACAAAGACACAGCATACCAGAATCTCTGGGACACATTCAAAGCAGTGTGTAGAGGGAAATTTATAGCACTAAATGCCCACAAGAGAAAGCAGGAAAGATCCAAAATTGACACCCTAACATCACAATTAAAAGAACTAGAAAAGCAAGAGCAAATACATTCAAAAGCTAGCAGAAGGTAAGAAATAACTAAAATCAGAGCAGAACTGAAGGAAATAGAGACACAAAAAAGCCTTCAAAAAATTAATGAATCCAGGAGCTGGTTTTTTGAAAGGATCAACAAAATTGATAGACCTCTAGCAAGACTAATAAAGAAGAAAAGAGAGAAGAATCAAATAGACGCAATAAAAAATGATAAAGGGGATATCACCACTGATCCCACAGAAAGACCAACTACCATCAGAGAATACTACAAACACATCTATGCAAATAAACTAGAAAATCTAGAAGAAATGGATAAATTCCTCGACACATACACCCTCCCAAGACTAAACCAGGAAGAAGTTGAATCTCCGAATAGACGAATAACAGGCTCTGAAATTGTGGCAATAATCAATAGCTTACCAACCAAAAAGAGTACAGGACCAGATGGATTCACAGCCGAATTCTACCAGAGGTACAAGGAGGAACTGGTACCATTCCTTCTGAAACTATTCCATCAATAGAAAAAGAGGGAATCCTCCCTAACTCATTTTATGAGGCCAGCATCATCCTGATACCAAAGCCTGGCAGAGACACAACAAAAAAAGAGAATTTTAGACCACTCTCCTTGATGAACATCGATGCAAAAATCCTCAATAAAATACTGGCAAACCAAATCCAGCAGCACATCAAAAAGCTTATCCACCATGATCAAGTGGGCTTCATCCCTGGGATGCAAGGCTGGTTCAATAAATGCAAATCAATAAATGTAATCCAGCATATAAACAGAACCAAAGACAAAAACCACATGATTGTCTCAATAGATGCAGAAAAGGCCTTTGACAAAATTCAACAACGCTTCATGCTAAAAACTCTCAGTAAATTAGGTATCGATGGGACGTATCTCAAAATAATAAGAGCTATCTATGACAAACCCACAACCAATACCATACTGAATGGGCAAAAACTGGAAGCATTCCCTTTGAAAACTGGCACAAGACAGGGATGCCCTCTCTCACCACTCCTATTCAACATAGTGTTGGAAGTTCTGGCCAGGGCAATTAGGCAGGAGAAGGAAATAAAGGGTGTTCAATTAGGAAAAGAGGAAGTCAAATTGTCCCTGTTTGCAGATGACATGATTGTATATCTAGAAAACCCCATTGTCTCAGCCCAAAATCTCCTTAAGCTGATAAGCAACTTCAGCAAAGTCTCAGGATATAAAATCAATGTACAAAAATCACAAGCATTCTCATACACCAATAACAGACAGAGAGCCAAATCATGAGTGAACTCCCATTCACAATTGCTTCAAAGAGAATAAAATACCTAGGAATCCAACTTACAAGGGATGTGAAGGACTTCTTCAAGGAGAACTACAAACCACTGCTCAGTGAAATAAAAGAGGATACAAACAAATGGAAGAACATTCCATGCTCATGGGTAGGAAGAATCAATATCGTGAAAATGGCAATACTGCCCAAGGTAATTTCTAGATTCAATGCCATCCCCATCAAGCTACCAATGACTTTCTTCACAGAATTGGAAAAAACTACTTTAAAGTTCATATGGAACCAAAAAAGAGCCCGTATCGCCAAGTCAATCCTAAGCCAAAAGAACAAAGCTGGAGGCATCACGCTACCTGACTTGAAACTGTACTACAAGGCTACTGTAACCAAAACAGCATAGTACTGGTACCAAAACAGAGATATAGATCAATGGAACAGAACAGAGCCCTCAGAAATAACGCCACATATCTACAACTATCTGATCTTTGACAAACCTGAGAAAAACAAGCAATGGGGAAAGGATTCTCTATTTAATAAATGGTGCTGGGAAAACTGGCTAGCCATATGTAGAAAACTGAAACTGGATCCCTTCCTTACACCTTATACAAAAATTAATTCAAGATAGATTAAAGACTTACATGTCAGACCTAAAACCATAACAACCCTAGAAGAAAACCTAGGCATTACCATTCAGGACATAGGCATGGGCAAGGACTTCATGTCTAAAACACCAAAAGCAATGGCAACAAAAGCAAAAATTGACAAATGGGATCTAATCAAACTAAAGAGCTTCTGCACAGCAAAAGAAACTACCATCAAAGTGAACAGGCAACCCATAAAATGGGAGAAAATTTTCACAACCTACTCATCTGACAAAGGGCTAATATCCAGAATCTACAATGAAGTCAAACAAATTTACAAGAAAAAAACAAACAACCCCATCAAAAAGTGGGTGAAGGTCATGAACAGACATTTCTCAAAAGAAGACATTTATGCAGCCAAAAGACACATGAAAAAATGCTCATCATCGCTGGCCATCAGAGAAATGCAAATCAAAACCACAATGAGATACCATCTCACACCAGTTAGAATGGTGATCATTAAAAAGTCAGGAAACAACAGGTGCTGGAGAGGATGTGGAGAAATAGGAACACTTTTACACTGTTGGTGGGACTGTAAACTAGTTCAACCATTGTGGAAGTCAGTGTGGCGATTCCTCAGGGATCTAGAACTAGAAATACCATTTGACCCAGCCATCCCATTACTGGGTATATACCCAAAGGATTATAAATCATGCTGCTATAGAGACACATGCACACGTGTGTGTATTGTGGCACTATTCACAATAGCAAAGACTTGGAACCAACCCAAATGTCCAACAATGATAGACTGGATTAAGAAAATGTGGCACATATACACCATGGAATACTATGCAGCCATAAAAAATGATGAGTTCATGTCCTCTGTAGGGACATGGATGAAGCTGTAAACCATCATTCTCAGCAAACTATTGCAAGGACAAAAAACCAAACACCGCATGTTCTCACTCTTAGGTGGGAATTGAACAATGAGAACACATGGGCACAGGAAGGGGAACATCACACACCGGGGCCTGTTTTGGGGTGGGGGGGATGGGGGAGGGATAGCATTAGGAGATATACCTAATGCTAAATGACGAGTTCATGGATGCAGCACACCAACATGGCACATGTATACATATGTAACAAACCTGCACGTTGTGCAAATGTACTCTAAAACTTAAAGTATAAAAAAAGAAAAAAATTTTACATTATGGTTTTATTTTATTATTATTCATAATAAAATTAATTTCCTCCTACATGCCAATATAAAGACAGAGATGGTAACTGCTTACTTCACCTTATAAAAGATGAGATGTAGAATACCTTACTCTTTACCTCTCTCTCATTATCCTATCACTTCCTAGTTTCAATAAATAATTCTGGAATGTTCTGATCAAGAAAATTTTCAAATAATAAAATCCATATCACAGAAATCTCAGATACATTCAGTTTTATAATTACATTACACCTCCTTTCAAAGATTTAATTATTTAACCTATTTTATTGCTCACCATCACTTCTTCTGTAACCTGTTTTATCTGTTAATTTCTTAGTTCCAATGTATTTCTCAATAATTTTAACATTTGATTAAGCAAATATCTATTAAGAATTTAATATGAGCCAAGTGTTGAGGCAGGCTCTGGGTATATAGTAATGGAGAGGATTAATTTCCATACATGCAATGGTTATTGTATATTAAATGAATGGGTATTGTATTTGAACTTTAGCATTCTTTCATATGGAATGAAATTTTTAGGAATGGTAAGAACTACGTTTTGTATGTTCTATTCATTATTATTATAATTTTTTTAATTTAGGAGGTCATTAGGCTGGGTAGCTCCAGTGCTTTAAGTAAGCAAACTGAAGCTCAATGTAAACAGTAAAATGAAACAAGGGACTTTACCAGTCAGAAAACAGCAACTAGCCTCTAACTAGGGTCTTTTCACTCTAACCAATCAAATAGGTTTTCTTTCTGTTTTTTTTTAATACTTTAAGTTCTAGGGTACATGTGCACAATGTGCAGGTTTGTTACATATGTATACATGTGCCATGTTGGTGTGCTGCACCGATGAACTCGTCATTGACATTAGGTATATCTCCTAATGCTATCCCTTCCCTCTCCCCCCACCCCATGACAGGCCCTGGTGTGTGATGTTCCCCTTCCTGTGTCCAAGTGTTCTCATTGTTCAATTCCCATCTGTGAGTGAGAACATGCGGTGTTTGGTTTTTTGTCCCTGCGATAGTTTGCTGAGAGTGATGGTTTCCAGCTTCATCCATGTCCCTATAAAGGACATGAACTCATCCTTTTTTATGGCTGCATAGTATTCCATGGTGTATATGTGCCACATTTTCTTAATCCAGTCTATCATTGATGGACATTTGGGTTGGTTCCAAGTCTTTGCTACTGTGAATAGTGCCGCAATAAACACACGTGTGCATGTGTCTTTATAGCAGCATGATTTATAATCCTTTGGGTATATACCCGGTAATGGGATGGCTAGGTCAAATGGTATTTCTAGTTCTAGATCCTTGAGGAATTGCCACACTGTCTTCCACAACAGTTGAACCAGTTTACAGTCCCACCAACAGTGTAAAGCAATGGCAACAAATGGGATCTAATTAAACTAAAGAGCTTCTGCACAGCAAAAGAAACTACCATCAGAGTGAACAGGCAACCTACAGAATGGGAGAAAATTTTTGCAATCTACTCATCTGACAAAGGGCTAATATCCAGAAACTACAAAGAACTCAAACAAATTTACAAGAAAAAAACAGACAACCCTATCAAAAAGTGGGCAAAGGATATGAACAGACACTTCTGAAAAGAAGACATTTATGCAGCCAACAGACACATGAAAAAATGCTCGTCATCACTGGTCATTAGAGAAATGCAAATCAAAACAATGAGATACCATCTCACACTGGCTAGAATGGCGATCATTAAAAAGTCAGGAAACAACAGGTGCTTGAGAGGCTGTGGAGAAGTAGGAACACTTTTACACTGTTGGTGGGTCTGTAAGGTACCTTTTAGTTTTGTTAATTATGTGCTTTGCAATGCGGAAACTTTTTAATTTGAAAACACATAAACTGGCAAATTGGATAAATAATCAAGACTCATTCGTGTGCTGTATTCAAGAGATCCATCTCATGTGCAAGACACACATAGGCTCAAAATAAAGAGATGGAGAGATATTTATCAAGCAAATGAAAAGCAATAAAAAGCAGGGGTTACAATCTTACTCTCTGACAAAACAGACTTTAAACCAATGAAGATCAATAAAGAAAAAGAAGAGTATTACATAATTTTAAAGGGATCAATTCAACAAGTTCCTAAATATATAGAAATCCAATACAGGAGCACCCAGATTTATAAAACAAGTTCTTAGGGACCTAAAAAGAGACTTAAACTCCCACACAACAATAATGGAAGACTTTAACACCCCACTGTCAATATTAGAAAGATCAACAAGACAGAAAATTAACAAGGATATTCGGGACTTGAACTCAGCTCTGGATCAAGTGAACCTATTAGATACTGACAGAACTCTCCATCCCAGAACAACAGAATATACATTCTTCTCAGTACCACATGACACTCATTCTAAAATTGACCACATAATTGGAAGTAAAACACTCCTCAGCTAATGTAAAATTACTCATATAATGAGAAACAGTCTGTCAGACCACAGTGCAATCATATTGGAACTCAAGAATAAGAAACTCACTCAAAACCACACAACTACATGGAAATTGAACAACTGCTCCTGAATGACTCCTGGGTAAATAATGAAATTAAGGTAGAAATAAAGAAGTTCATTGAAACCAACAAGAACAAAGACAATGTACCAGAATCTCTGAGACACAATTAAAGCAGTGTTAAGAGGGAAATTTATAGCACTAAATGCCCACATCAGAAAGCTAGAAAGATCTTAAATCAACACCCTAACATCAGAATTAATCAAACTAGAGAAGCAAGAGCAAAAAAAATCCAAAAGCTAGCAAAAGGCAAAAAATAAGATCAGAGAGGAACCAAAGGAGATAGAGACACAAAAAACCCCTTCAAAAAATTAACAAATTCAAGAGTTGAATTTTAAAAAATAATAGTAAAACAGATACATCACTAGCTAGACTAATAAAGAAGAAAAGAGAGAAGAATAAAATAGGCACAATAAAAAATAACAGAGGGAATATTACCTCTGACCCAACAGAGATACAAACTGCCATCAGCGAATACTATAAATGCCTCTATGCAAATAAACTAGAAAATCTAGAAGAAATGGATAAATTCCTGGACACATACACTCTCCGAAGACTAAACCAGGAAGAAGTCAAATCCCTGAATAGGCCAATAACATGCTCTGAGATTGAGGCAGTAATAAATAGCCTACCAACCCAAAACAAAGCCCAGAAACAGATGGATTCACAGCCAAATTGTAACAGAGGTTCAAAGAGGAGCTGGTACTGAAAGGGGAACCTATCCCTTGTCCCCCTCACAGGGCATGCGATGGGGGTGTGGCTCACTTCGTCAGTGCCCCACTGCTCAAACCTCTAGAGGAGCTTACAGATGGGCGGGCTGTAGGGCTCCAACCCCACAGCAGTGTCTAGGGGTGAATGTTTACAGCTGAAGCCCCAGTGGCCATGTGTTACAGGTTGTTCTTTTAGTTTGGCCATCTGTAGGTGGCTTGTGTTAGTCAACTAAATTAGACCACCCTGTCTTATCACAGGGACAGAGGGCTTTCTGTATCTCAGGGTTCTTGCCTCGGTGTGCTTGGAGAATCGGATCACACGTGGGCTTGGAGAATGAGTGCCAGGTTTAATTGAGTGGAAATAGCTCTCAGCAGGTGGGGGAGCCAGAAGTTAGATAGTTTTCCCCGGAGTCAGGCTGCTTGGTGGGCCAAGCTCTCTTTCAACTATGCCAGCCAAACTCAACATCATTCTGCCAGTCGGTAGCCTGCTGGTGGGCCAGTGCCTGTCTGTGTGTCCCTCTAGACATCCAGCCTCCTGTGTATTCCTCTGCTGATGTGTTCCTCTCGACATCCAGCCACCTGTGTCTTCTTTTACCGATGTGTTCCTCTTGATGTCTAGCTGCTTGTGTGTCTGCTTGTTAGGGTCTTGGGGTTTTTTTTAATAGGCACAGGATGGGGGCATGGTGGGCTAGAGCGGTCTTGGAAAATGCAACATTTGGGCAGAAAAGCAAAAACTGCCTGTCCTCACCTAGATCTGTGTGCACAGGCCCGGGGGTGGAGCCCTAGCCAGGGACTATGCTCTCTTACACCCAGCACTTTCCTTCCCTCCTTCTGTATTATTTAAAGTGACCATTCCCTTCCCTTCCCCCCACTTCCCTTCCGTATCAGTACCATACCTTCTGAAACTATTCCAAACAATTAAAAAGGAGGAACTCCTCCCTAACTCATTTTATGAGGCCAGCATCATCCTGATACCAAAACTTGGCAGAGACATAACAAAAAAAGAAAACTTCAGGCCAATATTCCTGATGAACATCAATGCAAAAATCCTCAATAAAATACTGGCAAACCGAACCCAGCAGCACATCAAAAAGCTTATCTACCATGATCAAGTTGGCTTTCTACCTGGGATGCAAGGCCGATTCAACATATTCAAATTAATAAACGTAATTTATCACATAAACAGAACCAATGACAAAAAAACTATGAATATCTCATTAGATGCAGAAAAGGCCTCTGATAAAATTCAACATCCCTTCATGTTAAAAACTCTCAATGAACTAGGTATTGATGGAACATATCTCAAAATAATAAGAGCTGTTTATGATAAACCCACAGCCAATATCATACTGAATGGGAAAAAGCTGGAAGCATTCTTTTTTAAAGCTTGCAAAAAACAAAAATGCCCTTTCTCACCACTCATATTAAACAGAGTATTGGAAGTTCTGCCCAGGGCAATCAAGCAAGAGAAATAAATAAGGGATATTCAAATAGGAAGACAGAAAGTCAAATTGTCTCTGTTGGTAGATGACATGATTTTATGTTTAGAAAACTCCATCATCTCAGCCCAAAAGCTCCTTAAGCTGATAAGCAACTTCAGTAAAATCTCAGTATACAAAATCAATGTGCAAAAATCTCAATAATTCTTACACACAATAATAGACAAGCAGAGAGCCAAATCATGAATGAACTTCTATTTACAATTGTTACAAAGAGAATAAAATACCTAGGAATACAGCTAACAAGAGATATGAAGGAACTCTTCAAGGAGAACTATGAACCATTGCTCAAGGAAATAAGAGAAGACACAAACAAATGGGAAAAGATTCCATCCTTATAAATAGAAATAATTAATATTGTGAAAATGACCATGATGCCCAAAGTAATTTATAGATTCAAGGCTATTCCCATCAAACTACTATTGACATTCTTCACAGAATTAGAAAAAACAAACTACTTAAAAACTCATATGGAACCAGAAAAGAGCCTGTATAGCCAAGACAATCCTAAACCAAAAGAACAAAGCTGGGGGCATCACACTACCTGAGTTCAAACTACACTACAAGGCTACAGTAACCAAAACAGCATGGTACTGGTACAAAAACAGACACATTGACCAATGGAATAGAATAGAGATTTTAGAAATAAGAATGCACATCTACAGCTATCTGATCTTTGACAAACCTGACAAAAACAAGCAATGGGGAAAGGATTCCCTGTTTAATAAATGGTGCTGAAAAAACTAGCTAGCCATGTGCAGAAAACTAAAACTGGACCCCTTCCTTAAACCTTATAGAAAATTTAACAAAAACCAAAATTGACAAATGGGATCTAATTAAACTAAAGAGCTTCTGCACAGCAAAAGAAACTACCATCAGAGTGAACAGGCAACCTACAAAATGGGAGAAAATTTTCACAACCTACTCATCTGACAAAGGGCTAATATCCAGAATCTACAATGAACTCAAACAAATTTACAAGAAAAAAACAAACAACCCCATCAAAAAGTGGGTGAAGGTCATGAACAGACATTTCTCAAAAGACATTTATGCAGCCAAAAACCACATGAAAAAATGCTCATCATCACTGGCCATCAGATAAATGCAAATCAAAACCACAATGAGATACCATCTCACACCAGTTAGAATGGCAATCATTAAAAAGTCAGGAAACAACAGGTACTGGAGAGGATGTGGAGAAATAGGAACACTTTTACGCTGTTGGTGGGACTGTAAACTAGTTCAACCATTGTGGAAGACAGTGTGGCGATTCCTCAGGGATCTAGAACTAGAAATACCATTTGACCCAGCCATCCCAATACTGAGTATATACCCAAAGGATTATAAACCATGCTGCTATAAAGACACATGCACACATATGTTTATTGTGGCACTATTCACAATAGCAAAGACTTGGAACCAACCCAAATGTCCAACAATGATAGACTGGATTAAGAAAATGTGGCACATATACACCATGGAATACTATGCAGCCATAAAAAATGATGAGTTCCTGTCCTTTTTAGGGACATGGATGAAACTGGAAACCATCATTCTCAGCAAACTATCGCAAGGACAAAAAACCAAACACTGCATGTTCTCACTCATAGGTGGGAATTGAACAATGAGAACACTTGGACACAGGAAGGGGAACATCACACTCTGGGGACTGTTGTGGGGTGGGGGGAGAGGGGAGGGATAGCATTAGGAGGTATACCTAATGCTAAATGACGAGTTAATGGGTGCAGCACACCAACATGGCACATGTATACACATGTAACAAACCTCCACATTGTGCACATGTATCCTAAAACTTAAAGTATAATAATAATTAAAAAAAAAAAGAAAATTTAACTCAAGATATATTAAAGACAAATATAAAACCAAAAACCATAAAAGCCCTAGAAGAAAACCTAGGTAATACCATTCAGGACATAGGCATGGGCGAATATTTTATGATGAAATCATCAAAAGCAATTGTAATAAAAGCAAATATTGAAAAATGGGATTTAATTAATCTAAAGAGCTTCTGCTACAGTCAAACAAACTATCATCAGAGTGAATAGGCAACGTAAAGAATGGGAGAAAAGGTTTGCAATCTATCCATCTGACAAAGGTCTAATATCCAAAATCTACAAGGAACTTAAACAAATTTACAAGAAAAAACCAAACAACTGCATTAAAAAAGTGGGCAAAGGATGTGAACAGACAATTCTCAAAAGACGACATGCGGCCAACAAACATGTGAAAATGAGCTCAACATCACTAATTATTAGAGAAATGAAAATCAAAAAGTCAATGTGATACCATCTCACATCAGTGAGAATGGCGATTACTAAAAAGTCAAGAAACAGCAGATGCTCGTGAGGCTGTGGAGAAATAGGAATGCTTTTACACTGTTGGTGGGAATGTAAATTAATTCAACCATTGTGGAAGACAGTGTGGCAATTCCTCAATAATCTAGAACCAGAAATACCATTTGACCCAGCAATCCCATTACTGGGTATATACCCAAGGGAATATAAGTCATTCTATTATAAAGTTACATGCACACATGTTTATTGCAACACTATTCACAATAATAAAGACATGGAACTAACCCAAATGCCCAGCAATGATAGACTGGATAAAGAAAATGTGGTACATATACAACATGGAATATTCTGCAGCCATGAATAGGAATGAGATTATGTCCCTTGCAGGGACATGGATTAAGCTGGAAGCCATCATCCTCAGCAAACTAACACAGGAACAGAAAACCAAACACCACATGTTCTCACTCATAAATGTGAGTTAAGCAATGAGAACACATGGGCAGAAGAAGAGAAACAACACACACCAGGGACTGTCAGGGAAGGGGCAATGAGAGGAGGGACAGCATCAGGACAAATAGCTAATCCCTGCAGAGCTTAAAACCTAGGTGATGGGTTGATAGGTGCAGCAAGCTACCATGGCACACATACACCTATGCAACAAACGTGCACCTTCTGCACATGTATCCCAGAACTTAAAGTAAAATTAAAAAAAATAAATAAAAAGAGATGGAAATACCATTTGACCCAACAACTCCGTAACTGTGTATATACCCAAAGGAATATAAATCATTCGATTATAAAGACACACACACATGTGTGTTCACTGCAACATTATTCACAATAGCAAAGACATGGAATCAACCTAAATGCCCATCAATGATAAACTGGATAAAGAAAATGTGGTACATATACAATATGGAATACTATACAGCCATAAAGAAGAACTAGATTATGTCCTTTTCAGAGACATGGATAGAGTTGGAGGCCATTATTTTTAGCAAACTAACACAGAAACAGAAAACCAAATACTGCATGTTCTCAATATATGTGGGAGCTAAATGATAAGAACACATGAACAAATTAAGAGTGGAATAACACACTCAGGGGCCTATTGGAGGGTGGAGATTTGGAGGAGGGAGAGCATCAGGAAAAATAACTAATGTGTACTAGGCTTAATACTCAAGCGATGAAATAGTCTGTACAATAAACCCCCATGACACATGTTTTATCTGTGTAACAAACCTGCACACGTACCCCGAACTTAAAATAAAAGTTAAAAAAGCAAAAAAATAAACTTTTTAATTTGATGTAGTTCCACTTGTTTATTTTGCTATTGCTGCCTGTGTTTTTGATTTCATATCCAAAAAATTATTGCCAAGATCAACATCAAGGGGGTTTTTATTTACAGATAATATTTGCACATATTTATGAGGACATGTGATATTTTATTACATGCATATAATGTTTAATGATAAGTTAAGGTATTTACAGTATTCATCAACTTGAATATTTATCATTTTTATGCATTGGAAAGATGTCAAGCTCCTCCCTTTTAGCTATTTTGAAGTATACAGTACATTGTTCTTAACTATAGTTACCCTAGTCTGCTATCATATATTAGAGCACAATTCTCCTATCTAACATAATGGAAATAATTGTACCCATTAACCAACCACTCTTTATTCCCCACCCCCAATACACACACCTTTTCCAGCCTCTGGTATTCATCATTTTACTCTCTACCTCCATGACATCAACTTTTTTTAATCTCCCACATATGAGTGACAACACGTCATATTTGTTTTTCTGTGCCTGGCTTATCTCACTTAACATAATGACTTCCAGTTCCACACATGTTGCTACAAATGACATGATTTCATTCTATTTTACTGGCCAAATAGTATTCCATTGTGTATATGTATCGCAGTCTCTTTATCAATTTGTCTGTTGATTGATACGTTTATTCCATATATTTTCTTTTGTGAGTAGTGCTGTAATAAACATGAGAGTGCAGCTGTCTTTTTAAATTTAATTTTTATTTTTATAGATTTAGGGGTACAAGTACAGTTATGTTACATGGATATATTGTGCAGTGGTGAAATCTAGGCTTTTAGTGTACCTCTTACCTGACTACTGTACATTATACCCAATAGGTAGTATTTCATCCCTTATCCCTCCCACTCTCACACCTTTTGGAGTGTAGAGTGTCTATTATTCCACTTGTATGTACGTGTGTACCCATTGTTTTGCTCCCACATATAAGTGAGAACATGCGGGTTTTAACTTTCCATTTCTGAGTCATTTCACTAAAGATAATAGCCACCAGTTCCATCCATGTTGTTGCAACAGACATTATTTCATCTTGTTTATAACTGAGTAGTATTACATGGTAGATATATACCACATTTTCTTTATTTTATCATTGATTAATGAATAATTAGGTTGATTCCATAACTTTGCTATTGTGAATAGTGGTGCAATGAACATACCAGTACAAGTGTCTTTTCAATAAAAAAAAAAAAAATGACGTATTTTCCTTTGGGTAGATACCCAGTAGTGGGATTGTTGGTTGAGTTGAAGGGTAGATCTTTTTGTAGTTTTTTGAGAAATTTTCATACTATTTTCCATAGTTTGCTCTAATTTACATTACACCAACAGTGTATAAGCATTCTCTCTTCTATACATCCTTGCCAACATCTGTGCAGCTATTTGATATACTGATTTTTCCCCCTTGGATATATACCCAGTAGTAGGAATGCTGAAACATAGGGTAGTTTTACTTTTAGTTCTTTGAGAAATCTCCATACCATTTTTCATAGTGGCTGTACTAATTTATATTCCCCTCTACAGTGTATAAGAGTCTCTCTCTTCATCCTCACCAGCATTTGTTGTTTTTCGTCTTTTTAGTGATAGCCATTTTAACTGGAGTAAGAGGATATCTCATTGTGGCTTTGATTTGCATTGTCTTGATGGTGAATCATAATTAAGCATTTTTTTCATAGTTGTTGGCCATTAGTATTTCTTCTTTTGAGAAATATATGTTAATGTATTTTTTCCAATTTTTAATGAGATTATTAGTGTTTTTACTTGAGTTGTTTGAATTTCCTATATATTCTAGATATTAGTCCATTGTCAGATGAATGTGAGAGTTTGCAAATAATCCCTCCTATTATGTGGCTTTTCTCTTTACTCTATTGATTCCTTTGCTGTGCAAAAGCTTTTTAGCTTAATGTAATTCCAATTCTCTATGTTTTAGTTGCCTATGCTTTTGACATCTTAGCCATAAAATCTTTCTTTAGGCTAATGTTTGAAGTATTTTCCTATGTATTATTCTAGTTGTTGTATACTTTGGGGTCTCACTTTTAAGCTTTTTAATCTATCTTGAGTTGATTTTTGTGTACGGTGAGAGATAAGGGTCTAATTTCATTGTCCTGCATATGAATATCCATTTTTCTCAGTACTCTTTTTTTTTTTTTTTTTTTTTTTTTTTTTTTTTTTTTTTGAGACGGAGTCTCACTCTGTCGCCCAGGCCGGACTGCGGACTGCAGTGGCACAATCTCGGCTCACTGCAAGCTCCGCTTCCTGGGTTCACGCCATTCTCCTGCCTCAGCCTCCCGAGTAGCTGGGACTACAGGCGCCCGCCACCGCGCCTGGCTAATTTTTTGTATTTTTAGTAGAGACGGGGTTTCACCTTGTTAGCCAGGATGGTCTCGATCTCCTGACCTCATGATCCACCCGCCTCGGCCTCCCAAAGTGCTGGGATTACAGGCGTGAGCCACCACGCCCGGCCTTCTCAGTACTCTTTATTGAAGAGTGTGTCGATTCCGCAATGCATGCTTTTGGCACCTTAGTGAAAAATCAGTTGGATGTAAATATGTCGATTTATTTCTGTGTTCTCAATTCTGTTCTGTTGGTTTATGTGTGTTTTTTTAATAACAATATCATACTATTTTGGTTACTATAGCCTTTTCATATATTTTGAATTCACTCAGTGTGGTGCCTCCAGCTTTATTTTTTTCTATTCAGAATTGCTTTGGCTATTCAAGCTCTTTTTTTTTTTTTTTTGGTTTTATACAAAATTTTTAAGATTTCTTTTCTATTTCTGTGAAAAATTACATCAGTTTTTTTGTAAGAATTGCTTTGAATCTGTAGATTTCTTTGGGTAGTATGGCCATTTTTACAATATTAATTCTGCTAATCCATGAGCATGGGATGTATTTCTATTTGTTTGTGTCGTCTTCAATTTATTTCATCAGTGTTTTGTAGTTTTTCTTGTAGAGGTCTTTCACCTCCTTGGTTAAATTTATTCCTAGATATATTCTTGTAGGCATTGCAAATTGGAATGCCTTCTTGATTTCTTTCTTTGCAAGTTCACTATTGGTATATAAAAATGTTACTGATTATTGTACACTGATTTTGTATCCTGCAACTTTACTGAATTTGTTTATCAGGCCCAAGAGGTTTTTTTGTGTGTGTGTGTGAAGTCTTAAGATTTTTCTACATGTAAGGTCATGTCTTCTGCAAAGAGGGACAATTTTATTTTTTTCAATTTGGATGCATTTTATGTTGTGAGTCACATTTATTGATTCGCATATGCTGAACCATTTTTGACTATTGAATAGAAGTTCCTGTTTTCTTGCTAGCTATCAGGCAGGGGCTATTCTCATTTCCTGGATACCACCATCCATATTACTTACCATGTGGCTCCCTTTAGATGTGACCCCCTTCATCTAGCAACCAAAATCCTCCCTTGTATTGAATCTCTCTCACACTTTAAATTTATCTGACTTCTTTGTTTCTGACATCTAGACCCAGATTTAAAGGGACCATGTGATTAGGTCAGGTCCACCCATATAGTCTCTTTTTTTTAAAGTCAACTGTGACATATAACATAACCTAATCAGGAAAGTAAAATCCATTATATTCATATTCCCTGGAATCACACAGGGCATGTTCTCCAGAGGAAATCAATTGTAGACATCATCTTAGAATTGCCTATCTTAGAGGTAAAACGTATGTGATTTGAAAAACACAACTCCTGAATATATTATTCCATGTGTTCTAACAAATGCATTGATCCCATGAAGTTCCTCTGTTAACTTTCTCAATAAAACTGTATCTGCATATTCCTCAGAGGCAACCATTGTTCTAACTTTATTCTGTAATGTATTAGTTTTGCTTGTTCTGTATCAGGAGTCATCAAACTATAGCCCATGGTCCAAATCCAGCCCACCACCTGTTTTTATAAATAAAGTTTTATTGAAACACAGCCATGCTTATTTGTTTACCTATTGTCTTCAACTGCTTTCTTAATACAACGGCAGATTTAAGTAGTTACAACTACTTAATGACCCATAAAGTTTAAACATTTACTATCTGGCTCTTTACACACAATTTGTAAACTCTTCTTCATATAAATAAAATCATACAGTGTGTATTCCTTTCTGTAAAACTTCTTTCAACATAATGTTTTTGGGATTCTTCTATGTTGTGTCTATTGGTAGTTAAAAAAATTTAATCGTACTCAATTGTATGGGCACACCACAGTTTATCTAGTCTTACGTTGATGGATACCTGCCCTGTTTCCAGTTTTGAACTATTATGAGTAATCTTCAGTGATTATTCTTGTACAAGTCTTTCTATAAATGTATGCTTTTATTTCTCTTATGTAAATATTTAGTGGTGAAATTGCTGGATTATAGGTTGAACATATATTTCATTTTATAAAAATCTGCCAGAAATTGTTTCAAAGTGGTTGTATCACTTTATACTCCCAGTTTCACTTTCAGTTGCTTTAATTCCTTGTTAACATTTTATGCTTTCAGACCTTAATTTTTGCCATTCTGGTAGGTTCTAGTAGTATTTCACTGTGATTTTATTTTTCACTCTTTTGATAAATATTTTGTAGATAATTTTTTGTTATTGATCATTCTTCTCTTTGTGAAGTGTCTGTTCAAATTTTTGCACATTTTATTATTTTAATTAATTTATATATTTAGGGGGTAAAAATGCAGTTTTCTTACATGTGTATATTGCATAGTGGTGAAGTCTAGGCTTTCAGCGTACCCATTACCCCAATAGTGAACAATGCACCCAATAAGTAATTTTTCAATCCTCAATCCCCTCCCACTCTCCCACATTTTGTAGTCTCACGTGTCATTATTACACTCTGTATGTCCAGGTGTACCCTTTGTTTAGCTCCCACTTATAAGTGAGAACATGCAGTATTCAAATTCTGTTTCTGAGTTATTTCACTTAGTACAATGGCCTCCAGTTCCATTTATGATGCCGCAAAGGACATAATATCATAAAATATTATCTTTATCCAATCATCTGTTGATGAGTGCTTAGGTTAATTCCATATCTTTACAATCATGAATCATGCTGCTATAAACATACAAGTGCAGACATCTTTTTGATATAATGATTCCTTTTCTTTGCATATATACCTGGTAGCAGGATTGCTGGATCAAATGATCATTCCGTTTTTAGTCCTTTTTAATCCTTTGGAAAATCTCCATACTGTTTTCCAAAAATGTTGTACTAATTTACATCCCCACCAAAAGTGTATAAACATTTCTTTTTCTCCATATCCTCACCAACAGCTGCTGTTTTTAGACTTTTTAATAATAGCCATTCTAACTGGTATCAGATGATATCTCATTGTGGTTTTGATTTGCATTACTTTGATGATTCGTAATAATGAGCATTTCTTCAAGTTTGTTGGTCACCTGTATGTCTCCTTTAGAAAGTGCCTGTTCATGTCTTTTGCCCACTTTTTAATGGGATTATTTATTGTTTTCTTGTAGAGTTGTTTGAGTTTCTTGTAGATTCTGGATATTAACCCTTGGTCAGATGTATAGTTTGCAAAAATTTTCTTCCATTCTATAGGCTGGCTGTTTACTTTATTGATTGTTTCTTTTGCTATGGAAAAGCTTTTTAGTTTAATTAAGTCCCATTTGTCTATTTTTGGTTTTGTTCCATTTGCTTTTTGGGTCTTGGTCATAAATTCTTTGCCTAGGCCAATGTTCAGGAGAGTTTTCCTATGTTTCCTTGTAGGATATTTGTAGTTCCAAGTCTTATATTTAAAACTTTAATTTGTCTTGAGTTAACATTTTATATGGTGAAAGGTATGCATCCAGTTTCATTCTTCTGCATATGGTTAATGTCTGCACATGGCAAATTTTCTTCACACCATTTATTGAATAGGATGCCATTTATTCAGTGTATATTTTTATTGACTTTGCCAAAGATAAGTTCATTGTAAGTATGTAGCCTTATTTCTGGGTTCTCCATTCTATTCCACTTTTCTATGTATCTAATTTAATGCCAGTAGCTTGCTGTTTTGGTTACTATAGCCTGGTAGTATGATTTGAAGTCAGATAATGTGATGTCTCCAGCTTTGTTGTTTTTTTTATCAGGATTGCTTTGGCTATTTTGTCTATTTTTTTTGGTCTATATGAATTTTAGGAATTTTTTTCTAGTTCTGTGTAAAACAATGCTGGTAATTTGATAGGGATTGCATTGAATCTGTAGTTTGCTTTGGGAAGTATAGTTATTTTAACAATATTGGCTCTTCCAATCCATGAGCATGGATTTTTCCATTTGTTGATGTTGTCTCCGATTTCTGTCATCAGTGTTTTGTAATTCTCCTTATAGAGGTCTTTCGCATCCTTGGTTAAATACATTCCTAAGTTTTAAAAAAATGTGTTGTAAATGAGATTGACTTCTTGATTAGGTCCTTGGTTAGATCATTATTGGTGTACAGAAATGCTACTGATTTCTGAATGTCAATTGTGTATCCTAAAACTTTACTAAACTCATTGATCAAATGTAAGAGTATTTTTATTGGAGTCTTCAGATATTTCTGGATACAAAATCATATCATCAGTTAACGGGAATAAATTGACTTCTTTTTCAATCTAAATGCTTTTTTTTCTTCTTTCGTGATTGCTCTGGCAAGGACTTCCAGTGCTATGTTGAATAGAGTGGCGAAAGTGGGCATCCTTGTCTTGTTCTAGTTCACAGAGAAAATGCTTTAAACTTTTCTCTATTAAGTAAGATGTTGACTGTGGCCTTGTCATATATAGCCTTTTTTATGTTGAGGTATGTTTCTTTTATGCCTAGTTTGTTGAGGATATTTCTCATAAAGGGGTGCTAAATTTTATTGAGTGCTTTCTCTCTCTCTATTTAGATGATCATAAAATTTTTGTCTTTAATTCTGTTTATGTAATGCATCATATTTATTGATTTGCACATGTTGAAACATTACATCCCTGGGATAAATCCCACCTGATCATGGTGTATTATCTTTTTGATGTGCTATTTGATTCTACTTGCTAGTATTTTGATGAGAATTTTTGTATCTATGTTCCTCGGGGATATTGATTTGTAGTTTTCTTTTTTTCTTGTGTCCTTGTCTGGTTGTGGTATCAGGGTGATACTGACCATGTAGAATAAGTTAAAGAGAATTTCCTCCTGCTTGATTTTTTTAGAATAGTTTCAGAAGGATTGGTGTTACTCTTTGCATATTTGGTAGAATTTTGCTGTAAATCCATCTGTTTCTGAGCAATTTTTTTCTTGGGAGATTTTTTATTACTGATTCAATCTTGCTACTCACTATTGATCTGTTCAGGAGTTCTACTTCTTCCTGGTTCAGCCCCAGAAGATTGTGTGGTTCTAGTAGCTTATTCATTTTCTCTGGGTTTTCTAGTTTATGACTATATAGCTGTTTGTAATTGTCTCTGATGAACTTTTGTATTTCTATTGCATCACTTGTAATGTCTCATTTTGATTTCTGATTATGTTTATATGGATTTTCTATTTTCTTGCTTAGTCTAGCTAGTTGTTTATCAAATTTTTAAATTTTTTTTAAAAAACCAACTGTTTGTTTTATTGATTCTTTGTATTTTTTTGTCCCCATTTCATTTAGTTCTCTTTTGATTTTTGTTATTTCTTTTATACTGCTAACTCCAGGTTTGCTTTGTTCTTCTTTTTCCTAGTTTCTTGGTGTTTTTGTCCATTTTACATTGGGTCTTTCTATAATTGTATTGGAGGAATTCTTTATACATTCTGGATTCCAGTCCTTTCTCAGATATATGTTTTGCAAATATTTCTCCTAGTCTGTAGTTTAAATATTTTCTTAATGATGCCTTTTGATGAAAAGTTTTTAATTTAGATAATGTCTAATTTTTTTTTTTCAGCACAATGCCGCTATGGGTAAGGAAGGAAGGGGCAGGCAGCATAAGGAAGCAACATGTTGCTAGCATAGACAGGAAATACCAGCAGTTATGTGGCACATTTTTGCCATGTTGGGGAATAATGCCACTCAAAATTATGAGATCAAATATTTACTTATAATTCCAGAAATAAAAGGACAGATAATTAGACTGAGGAAGAGTGCTGTGGACACTCAAGTCCTATAATGGTCTTATGACCAAACTAGAGAAAAGCTTATTACATAATTATTTTTTTATATATAAAATATTATCTTATATGTCTTTATACCATATGGAGATTCTCTACTTTGCTTAATTACTTTTCACAGGCAGGCAGCCAATTGTAGGCATTGATTTTGGTTCATACATCAGCATGACACACAGATTGAGATAAGGCTTGCTAGTCACCTAGTGAGAGTGAGATGAGTTTTTCTGCTTGTTGGATAACAGTGCTTCCTATAGCTGATCAAAGTACACTTAATCCTACTTATTAAGAGTTGATGTAACAAAAAATAAGCAAGATATTAAGTCCATGTATACAGTAATAATATTTGATTGCTTTGTTTTGTATTTATGTACACGGTGTTTAAAATACTGTGTGGATATAAACTCAAAAAAGAAATTGTTTCTTCCTTTGTAGAAAGATCAGAAGAAGTTCTGAGACTTATGAGGATCTGTGAGATAAAATGATTTTCCTAATAATTCTACAAAATTATTTGCCATTTTCATTCCCATTCTTTTATTGTGTAAAGTAGAGTTTTTCAAAGGTTATAAGATGTGTTGTGTCACAACAGACTGAATGCAGAAGCAGATTGAGAACCTAGCTGTCCTCTATTAAGCTAAACATTAAGGGGATTTGCAAAATTAGAAACAATATCACTCTTCTTACTGTTTTTAGATATATAAATATTTTTCATAAAATTTTATACATATTACCATATAATGGATTTTTGTTACTATTTTTAAATAAATTCATATTGACTGAAAAGTTATTATCAGTTTTAAACAAAAGCTCTTTGAGCTTCTCAATAAGTTTTGAATGTAAAGAAGTCCTGAGAGCAAATGTTTCAGAATTGCTGGACTAGATTACCTTGTAAGTCTTGTTCAGCTAAAATTTTCTGTATCTTTCTGACTCCAGCAGAACAGACCACTGTGTCAGGCCCATAAATACTGTTTCAATCATGATTTTTATTGCTTTGCCCATTAATTTTCAAAAAGCTGAAAAACACTGTATAAAGGAGAAGCTCTTGATTTTTTTATCTGTAGGAAACTGACTACAGTGTTAGCTTTTTAAATCTCTTCTCTTTATGCTTCCAACTTTCCTCCTGTTAAGTCTCCTTTCTCCCTCTTCTTCTATTCAGTGTATTGGGTAGTTTCTTATTTGATATTTGTGGGCTGCATATAAAATCAATTGAAATGTAAGCCCCCATAGGGAAATTCTTCTCAAAGAAAGGACAAATCATGAAAAAAGGCCCCTTCTGGACTTTTGTAATCTTTAACGCCTTGTCAGAATTCATAGATTTATTATGTATTCTCTAAGGAGAAAAGCACTACGTGGAAGAATGAATAGTTAAAGGAATACATTGTATTTTCTTAACTCTAAATATGTGAATATCTTAATATATAATATGTGTAATTCTATAATTTGATAAATGAAATAATTTGGTATATATACATATATATATAATCTTGAGTTTATATGTATTAAGTGCACAGTATTCACTGCAATTGCTTATCTAACTTCAACGTTTGTGAAATGTCCTACTATGTGTCTATGAGTACACAGTGCTTTGTATCAGTGTCAAATGAATATGCATGCATGCAAATTCAAAAAGAGCATCTTGCTAGTTTCTTCTAGTATGGTGGTTCTTCTCAAGTTTTAACTTATCCTATAATGCTTCTCTTTTAGCCAAAATGGTAAACTAATTAAAGTAGCATGATATAAGAATGCACAGATATTACCACCATCTATAGGCAAATTATTAAATTTAGTTTTTAAAATAAAAAATATCAAGATGTCTTTGGCTGTCTAAAGACCTCTTTATATATCTTGATACAGTGCAACTGTTCGATGATATCATACTATCAGAGCAGCTTATAGAGAACTTCTAATCTAATACCTCGATTCCTATGTGAATCTCTTTTACAACATCCACTGTCAACACAAATAACAATTAATAATTATACTTAGGATGTCTATAATTTACATCCAGTTAAACAACAGCAAAACTTATCTCTAGCCATTACCATGTGAAAATTATAAAATAATAAATTACTATCCAGTGATGACTACTATTGTTAAGCAGGCTTTGAGTACAGAGGGCACAAAGAACATTGAGAACAAAGTTTTTATGTGAATAAATACACTTATATTAAAGTGGGAATGAATATAGACGTAATGATCTGCTGAGAGGAGGCTAAAATCATCATCTTGGCAAAAAAAAAATATTTCATCAAGTCTTGACACATTCCAAATCTTAGGTATTGTAAATAGTGCTGCAGCAAACAAAGGAATGTAGATATCTTTTTGATATATTCATTTCCTTTCTTTTGGACATGTACCCACAAAAATTAAAATAATAATAATAGTAATAAAACATTTGGCACATTCCTCACTCATGCTTAGCCTTAAGAAACCTGTAAAGAAATAACACAACAACATCAGGTCATTTCATTTAGAACATTTTTGCTAGCATTTAATTTTCCACAGTGTACCAAGCACCATGTTAGGCACTTTTCATATGTTATCTAATTTAATTCTCATAATTTTCTTAAAAGGTTGTTATTAGTATTCCCATTTTACAGTTGATGGAACTATGATTCACAGTAAGTAAATGACTTATCCAGTGCCACTCAGTTAGTAAGGGGCAGAACTGGGATTCAAATCCATCCTGTTTGAGGAACAAAAGATAGTCTTCATGTCATTTATATGTAGCTTTTGAACATGTTATCATTTATACCAATATGTCCCAGTTCTTTGTACAATCTCTGGCACATAGTTGATAATATTTTCTTGAATTAAATGAGTGTATATATGATTATTTATTATTTTACATTTGTCTTAGAAAATATTAAAATTAGTTTATTTTATAAACACAGTGGAGCAGGCTGGCCCAGTATATTGGGGAAGAAAGAACGCTGTCTGGCATTTTGAGAGAAGATTGATGTTTAATTTCATGTGCTCAGTAAAGCTGATAGTTGGAAAACTTAGCCTCCATTTTTTTGCACTAATTTGGTATACTTTTTTATTTGTGTAATCATAATGTATTTCTGCTTGGATACAAACATAGCAACAGTAATCATGCTTTGCTTCATACTTCTAATTGGCTTTCAACCAATAATGACATGCTTTTACTGAGTGATTCCCATAGAGCGTACATAGCATTCTGTAGCATTCCATTTGTCTTATAACATTATCACCTGTGGCTTCCTTTGTTCTCTTATTAGTGAAGCCAATTTTATTCTCATGTGCTTGATTTGCAGCTTCATTTTTAGACCGACCTACTCCCACATCATATTGCTAAGACACTGTATGAATTTTGTTTCCTTTCTACCTGGGTTATCAGACACTGTATGAATTTTTATTTCCTTTCTACCTGAGTTATCAGCCTTGAAATTGTTAAATGCATTCTGTTCCTTTTAGCTAATCCACAGTTTGCCAAGGATTAAAAAAAAGTTCCTGTGGATTAAGTCATATGGGGGATAATTTAAATAAATATGTCTATATAGGCTTTATTCAAAGCCTGTCCATAGTTGTTTGAGCAAATATTAAAAATCATTGGGAATACTTTGAGTGGCTGTTCAGGACTGCTATACTTTGCAGTGGAAATGCTGAATGCTAGTCCAGACTCTGACATCTGCTGTTTCTTTTACCTTCAACAGGTCTTCCTCTTTGGGCCTCAGTTTGTTTATCTCAAAACCGAGTGTGTTGAGTTTTAAAGATTTCAAGCCCCTCATAAGACCTTTTTTCACTGATGGTAATGATGATAATGATGATGATGTGTTTATGCATATATTATACATACTTATATAGTTATTTAATATTGTTGGTTTCCTCCCCCAAAGTTAAGACAAAACTTCCAAAAAAATAGAATTGTAAAGAATTGACACTTCTTTAAAAATATAATTTAAGTTCTGGGATACATGTGCAGAATGTTCAGGTTTGTTACATAGGTATACATGTGCCATGGTGGTTTGCTGCACCCATCAACCTGTCATCTACATTAGGTATTTCTCCTAATGCTATCCTTCCTCTTGCCCCTCACCCCCAGCAGGCCCTGGTGTGTGATGTTCCCTTCCCTGTGCTCATGTGGTCTCACTGTTCAACTCCCACTTATGAGTGAGAACATGTGGTGTTTGGTTTTCTGTTCCTGTGTTAGTTTGCTGAAAATGATGGTTTCCAGCTTCATTCATGTCCCTGCAAAGGACATGAACTCATCCTTTTTTATGGCTGCATATTATTCCATGGTGTATATGTGCCACATTTTCTTTATCCAGTCTATCATTGATGGGCATTTTAGTTGGTTCCAAGTCTTTGCTATTGTGAATAGTGCTGCAGTAAACACATGTGTGCATGTATCTTTATAGTAGAATGATTTATAATCCTTTTGATATATACCCAGTAATGGGATTGCTGGGTCAAATGGTATTTCTAGTTCTAGATCCTTGGGGAATCGCCACACTGTCTCCCACAATGATTGAACTAATTTACACCTCCACCAACAGTATAAAAGTGTTCCTATTTCTCCACAGCCTTGCCAGCATCTGTTGTTTCCTGACTTTTTAATGATCGCCATTCTAACTGGCGTGAGATGGTATCTCATTGACGTTTTGATTTGCATTTATCTACTTTTCACACATATTTTAAGACAATTAAAATTACAATATATAGGAAAGAAAATAAAAGAAACTTAAAATAGAGGTAAGAAGTACCCTGTGTTTTCACTACTTTCAGAGGATATAAAACAGTAGTGCAATGGTAACAAACACATATTTTCTAGGATTGTGGGAAAAAGTTATAAGGCAGTGATCCTTAGGCATTTTGAATACCCAGTGTAATAGTCCTTGGAGATGTATAGAGATTGTGCTTATTTTCATTAAGCTACCTGTCTGATTTTTAACAATTTGCAAAATCAGAAAATATTTAATTTGCTTTTCTAGAAAATTACTAAAATCAGGCAGAGAGAGACAAGATGTCTGACTAGATGCAGCTATGAGAGCCACTGGGAGACTGGGTCATTGGGAAAACTGGCACACTTTGAGCAGATCATTGAAGGGAAGGCATTGAGGGTGAATGGGGAGAGGACACAGACACTAGACTGAAGGTGGAGGCAGCTGGGAACCCTGCACCTGTCTGTCCAGCACTATCACCTACTCCTGGCCCCCAGTGACTCCTGGGGAAGGAGTAAGTTGAACAGGTGAGCAGCGGCCTGGTTTCACCACAGACCTCTGGAATCCTACCTACAGGACACCTCATGACCACAGACACTTCAGCTGGCAAGGAGAGTTGCTTAGAGCGGTGGCAAAAAGAGGACTCCAGTCTGTGTAGAGATCAGAGGATTTGGCACAGGAATGGCTGAAGTGGAACATGGCCAGTGTTGTTCATCATCTGAGGCTTGCCAACTCCTCAATGTGGCTTTACCCTTTGGATGACTGTTGGGCCTACACAGAGTAGTGTAATCTTCCCTGTGGGAGAGAGCCAGTCCAATCTGATCAACCCCCTGTCAGCCAGCCTCTCCTGCGGTCACAGCCTAGTCACACTCACTTGCAGCACAGCCTCAGATGCCCAACCACGGTGCTTGCAGGGGGGCCTCATCATAGTTCCTTCACTGACAGACCATGCCTACCCCTCAGAGAGCACCAACAAATCAGCCCCTGCTGATATGACAAGTCCACCTGCAACCTCTCCCTGTTGCAGCCCCCCACCACCACCACTTTAACAGCATGTACACACCCATGGCCCAACCCCACCCGCTGCCATGGCTATTAGTGCAAGTGCATGCACAGATGTTGAAACCTTGCCCCAACTGGTGCCCCCCTCTCACCACACCACTGCTGCCAGCATGAATGCATGCAGAGATGCCACCATATTCTCCCACTGATGCACTACCCCAGCTGAGGCACATGTAACCTGCTGTGATCAAGCATAGAGATTTCACTACCACCACCCCAATGAAGCGCTTTGGCCAGCACCCCCACCATGGGAGTGTTGTGGCCGGCAGACAGGCAATACCTTGGCCCCTCCAGTGTAGTAGGTTCCTAAGCTCAAGGGGACAGAGAATAATCTTGTGGGCCTCATACCTGACACCAAAATTAGAGTATGAATCCCAGAAATGCTGAACAGAAACTTGGCCCCTTGAAGTCTTCTAAAATCAAGGCCAGTAGACTGAACCTACCTTATACCAAAATCAGAACCATAAGAGCATCAAAGATGATAAAAGCAAATAAACCCATCCAAAAGAAAGGAATTTCAAAACTTAAAGCAACATCAGCCTGCAAAGATGAGAATTAACCAATGCAAGAATGTTGACAACTCTAAAAGCCAGAGTGTCTGATTACCACCAAGGGACCACACTAGTTATCCAGCAATAGTTCTTGACTAGGGTAAAATGGATGAAATATCAAAAATTGAATTCAGAACATAGATAGGAAAGAAGACCATCAACATTCAAGAGAAAGTTGAAACACAATTCAACAAATCAAAAAAAAAAAATATGATACAAGAGATAAAAGATAATATGGCCATTTTAAGAAAGAACAAAACTGATCGGATAGAGCTGAAAAACACATGATAATAAGTTTACAATGTAATTATAAGTATTAACAGCAGAATAGACTAAGCTGAGGAAAAAATGTAAGAGCTCAAAGACTGATTCCTCAAATTAACTCAGAAAAAGAATAAAGAAAAGTAATTTTTAAAAATTCACAAAATTTCAAAAAATATTGGATTATTTGAGATCAAATTTATGACCCATTGGTGTCCCTCAAAGAGAAGAGGAGAAAGCAAGCAACTTGAAAAACATATTGGATGATATCATCAGCAAAAATTTCTACAACCTCACTAGAGAGGCCAACTCAAATTCAGGAAATGCAGAGAACCCCTACAAGATATAATATAAGATGACCATTTCCAGCACAAAGAGTTGTCATATTCTCTAAGGTTGAAATAAAAGAAAAATATTAAAGGCAGTTAGAGAGAAGGGGCAAGTCACCTACAAAAGGAGCCCCATCAGGCTAACAGCAAACTTTCAGAAACTTCAAATGCCAGAACAGATTGGCGGCTTATATTCAGCATACTTAAAGAAAATAAACTTCAAGAAAGATTGTCATACCCAGCCAAACTATGTGTCATAAATGAAAAAGTAATCAGACTTTTTCAGAAAAGTAAATGCTAAGGGAATTCATTAGTATCAGATCTGCCCTACAAGAGGTCCTTAAGGGAGTGCTAAATATAAAAACAGAAGACCATTACTGGCCACCACAAAAACATATTTAAGTACATAGACCATTTATACTATAAAACAACCACACAAGCCTGCATAACAACCAACTAACAACACGATGACAGAATTAAATCCAATGTATTAATAGTAACTTTGAATATAAATAGGCTAAATGCTTCAATTAAAAACACAAGAGTGGCAAGTTGGGTAAAGAAGCAAGACTCAACTATATGCTGTCTTCCAGAGATCCATCTCACATGCAATGACACCCATAGGCATAAAGTAAAGGAATGGAGAAAGTATACCAAGGAAGCAGAAAACAGAAAAAAGCAAGGGTTGCTATTCTAATTTCAGACAGAACAGACTTTGAACTAACAATGATCAAAACTGACAAAGAAGGACATTACATAATGATAACAGATTCAATTCAACAAGAAGACCTTACTATCTTAAATATATATGCACCTAACACAGGAGGACCTGTACTCATAAAACAAGTTCTTAGAGACCTATGAAGAGACTTAGATCACCCTGCAGTAATAGTGAGAGACTTCAACATCCCATTGGCACTATAAGACAGATCACTGAGGCAGAAAACTAACAAAAATATTCAGGACCTCAACTATACACTTCACCAAATAAACCTAACAGACATCTACAGATCTCACCACCCCAAAACAACAGAATATACATTCTTCTCATCTACAACACATGGCTCATACTTTAAAATCGACCACACAATTCACCATAAAACAACTCTCAGAAAATTTAAAAAACTGAAAAGATACTGTATTAGTCCATTATTACACTGCTATAAAGGAATACCGGAGACTGGGTAATTTATTAAAAAAAAGGTTTTATTGGCTCATGGTTCCACAGGCTGTACAAGAAGCATAGCAACATCTGGTTCTGGGAAGGCCTTAGGAAGCTTTTACTCATGGTGGAAGGCAAAGCAGGAGGAGGCATCTTATGTGGCAAGAGCAGGACCAAGAGAGGGAGAAAGAAGGTGCCACTCACTTTTAAATAACCAGATCTCATGAGAACTCTATTACAAGAGCAGCACCAAAGGGATCGTGCTAAACCATTCATGAAGGATCCACCCCCCTGAGCCAATCACCTCTCACCAGGCCTCACCTCCAACATTGGGGTATATATTTCAACATGAGATTTGGGTGGGGACCCAGATCCAAACTATATCACGTAACAAACACACTCTTCAACTACAGTGCAATAAAAATAGAAATAAATACTAAGCAAACTTCTCAAAACCATTCAATTACATAGAAATAAAACAATCTGCTTCTGAATGACTTCTGAGTAAACAATGAAATCAAGGTAGAAATCAAGACATTCTTTGAAATTCACTATTTACAATAACAAAGACATGGAAACAACCTAAATACCCATCAATGGTAGACTGGATAAAGAAAATGTGGTACATATACACCATGGAATACTATACAGTTATAAAAAATGGTATCATGTTCCTTGCAGCAACATGGATAGAGCTGGAGGCCATTATTTTAAGCAAACTGATGCAGAAACAGAAAACTAAATACTGCATATTCTTACAAGTAGGAGCTAAACAATGAGAACACATGGATTCTAGGAAGGGAACGACATACACTGGGGCTGATTTGAGGTGAGCGTGTAAGGTGTAAGGAGAAAGAGGATAAGGAACAATACTTATCAGGTACTGTTCTTGTTATCCAGGTGACAAAATTATCTCTACACCAAACCACTGTAACATGCAGTTTACCTATATAACAAACCTGTGCATGTACCTCTGAACCTAAAATAAAAGTTTAAAAAACAGAAAAAAAGAAAACCATTAAAAAGTAGGCAAAGGACATGAACAGACACTTTTCAAAAGACAACATACATGTGGCTCACAAGCATATGAAACAATGCTTAACATCACTAATGATTACAGAAATGCAAATCAAAACCACCAAGTGGTACCATCTTGCACCAGTCAGAATGGCTATTATTAGAAAGTTCAACAACAATAATAATAATAACAGATGCTGGTGTGGTTGTAGAGAAAATGGAATGCTTATACACTGTTGGTAGGAATGTAAATTAGCTCAGCCACTGTGAAAAGCAGTTTGGTGATTTTTCAAAGACTTAAAACAGAACTACCTTTTAATTCAAAAGACACATGCATGCATGTGCTCATCATACCACTATTCACAGTAGCAAAACATGGAATCATCCTAGATGCCCATCAACATATCCTCTCCCTGCTCCCACCCTCCACCTTCAAGTAGGCCCCAGTGTCTGTTTTTCCTTCCTAGAATCTATGTGTTGTCATTGTTTAGCTCCCACTTTTAAGGGAGAACATGCATTATTTCGTTTTCTGTTTCTTCGTTAGTTTGCTTAGGACGATGGCCTCCAGTTCTATTCAGTTTTCTTTGCCTTCAAGCATGAAAGTTCTATTTAAATCTGGCTTGTCAGCTGGGCACGGTGGCTCATGCCTGTAATCTCAGCACTTTGGGAGGCTGAGACAGGCGGATCATGAGGTCAGGAGTTCGAGACCAGCCTGACCAACATGGTGAAACCCCATCTCTACTAAAAATACAAAAATTAGCTGGGCGTGGTGGCACGTGCCTGTAATCCCAGCTACTCAGGAGGCTGAGGCAGGAGAATTGCTTGAACCTGGGAGGCAGAGGTTGCAGTGAGCTGAGCTTGAGCCACTGCACTCCAGCCTGGGTTACAGAGCAATATTCTGTCTAAAAAAAAAAAAATCTGGTTTGTCAACAGATTATTTTTCAATGCTGAAAATCATTTCCTCATCTTCTTATAGCAGTGTGTTGCAGTGGCTTCCCAGCATGATATCTAATTTTAAAATAGTAAGAAACTCTGTGAAATGTCTTTATGAATAAATATTAAATCTACATAACAATTTAAAAACTCAGATAGATGGCATATTATCTCATTTTCTGATTAGAGAAGACCCATCATTTTATTATTGGACAGATAGTAGTCATCAGTTTCCAGACTTGCATAAATGACAGAAGTGAGGCATTCTAGCCATTGACTATTTTGGATTGAGAGAAATGCTTGCCTCAATTATGACTATTTCAGATAAAGAGTATTCTCTCTAAATTAGTGAGAAAAATAACTTCATTTATCTACTTCACTCTGAAGTTAGATAATCTCTCTGAAACTTTAGTTAAAACACCTGGCATGTAATGAATTAAAAGCTAGTGTTTGTTTTATGAAAATACTTGATTGAAGGATGGCCACTCTAGTACACTTGCCAGTTAGTGAATCAAATGGATTACCTGATGCATACAATTGTGTGGGAAATGATTGTTTTGATAGAATAAGCCAAGATTTGATTGAATATTTGATGAATCATTTATTCATCCCAATTGTAGCTAATTGAGAGAATGGTGGACTGGGTGATATGGTTTGGCTCTGTGTCCCCACGCAAATCACATCTTGAATTGTACTCCCATAATTCCTATGTGTTGTAGGAGGGACCCAGTAAGAGATAATTTGAATCATGGGGGTACCCCATACTGTTCTCAGGTAGTGAATAAGACTCACAAGATCTGATGGTTTTATCAGGGGTTTTGCTTTTGCATCTTTCTCATTTTCTCTTGCCGCCACCATGTGAGAAGTGCCTTTCATCTCCCACCATGATTCTGAGGCTTCCCCAGCCATGTGGAACTGTAAGTCCAATTAAACGATTTTTTCTTCCCAGTCTCAGGTATGTCTTTATAAGCAGCATGAAAACAGACTAATACACTAGGAATCAAAATTTCTAGGTGCAAGTCCCCAATGCTGCCATTTAAGAGCTGTAGAATCTTGGATAATCTACTTACACTCTGTGGACCTCAGTTTTCTTATATGTAAAATAAGACTATTGAACTAAATATCCTCCATTTTCTTTATAGCTGTAAAAGTCCATCTCTAAGTTGGTTGGGCATGGTAGCTTACACCTGTAATCCCGCTGCTTTGGGAGGATGAGGCAGGAGAATTGCTTGAGCTCAGAAGTTTGAGACCACCCTGGGCAGCACAGCAAGAGCCCATCTCTACCAAAAATAAAAATAAAAAAAATTAGCCAGGCATGGTGGCACATGCCTGTAGTCTTAGCCACTTCAGAAGCTGAGGCAGCAGGATTGCTTGAGCCCAGGAGTTTGAGGCTGCAATGAGCTATGATTGTACCACTGCACTCTAGCCTGTGTGACTAAATGAGACCCTCTCTTTTAAAAAATAAAATGTAAAAAAAGGTCTAAATATAAAATTGAAATCTAATGGATGTATTCCAGAACTCATGAAACTTTAAACACCTTTGAGTTGTGTATTCTCATACTGATTTTATTCTGAAAACTTATTAAAATAAGATGCCATATTCAGTGGGTTAAACATTACATATAAGATAAATATGCAATTACACAGAATTTAGTGAATATTTTGATGTTTCAAATATATTCAAGTTTTTTCCTTTCTGTTTAGATATTTCAAAAATAATTATCTCTAAAACCTAATAATTTCAAATTTACTCATCAGTGAAAGCAAACAAACCCACCCATAATTGTGCCTTGTCAAACAAATGATTAAAAATATTTTAAAATTGGATGATGAACATGAATAGAACATTGACTTTTTATGCACATTTAAGCAAATATTTTGTATGCATAATCATGTGAAAAGATGAAACTGTTTGAAAATGTTTAATCCTGTGAGCATGTGTCTCGTGGAAAATCTGTTTATTTTCAGAATACTTATACATTTATTAGGAGCAACCTTTATCTTTGTTTTTCCATTTATCTCCTACATAAACATTTATGAAATGTTTAAGCAAATGATGTAAGAGAGCAAAATAGTGCTATTACACCTGAATAGGTGCCCTCTAGGATGAATACATTCTAGGTATTAAAGTATGTTGCATTGAAAGGATATCACATAATAATTAATCATTTAGTGTAGATAAAGCAGATTATCTACACTAGCAATGAACATGAAAACCGAAATTAAAAATACTGTTTACATTGATTCCAAAGATAAAAAAATAGAGTATTAATATAGTAAAATATATATATAAGATCTGTGTGATAAAAATTACAAAATGCTAATGAAAGAAATAATATAAATGGAGAAGCATATTGTGTTTATAAATTGGAAGACTCAACATAGTAAATATGTCAATTCTCAATTCTCCTCAAATTGATCCATAGGTTTAATGTAATGCCTATCAAAGTCTATGAAAGATTTTTGGTAGACATTGAGAAGCTTACTCTAAAATATATATGAAAAGTAAAATAGCATAGCTAAAATATTCAAATTGAATACATTTGAATATTGTATACATTGTGCTCAACAGTTAATCTCTTAACCCTCAGCCCCTCCCACCCGCCCTGCTTTGTAGCCTCCAATGTCTATTATTCCACTCTGTGTGTCCATATGAACCCTTTGTTTAGCTTCCACTTACAAGTGAGAACATGCAGTAGCTGACTTTCTGTTTCTGAGTTGTTTCACTTAGGAGAAGGACCTCCAGCTTCATTTATGTTGCTGAAAAGGACATTATTTCATTATTTAATACAGCAGGGTAGTATGCCATGATGTGTGAGTGTGTGTGTGTGTATGTGTGTGTAATGGTCTGTGAGATATGTGTGTGTGTGTATATATATATATATATACACACACACATATATATACATATATATATAATTTTCTTTATCTAATCATCTATTAATACACACTTAGGATGAATCCATATCTCTGCTATTGTGAATAGTTTTGTAATAAAATATGAGTACAGGTATCTTTTTGATATAATGATTTTTTTCCTTTGGGCAGATACTCAATAGTGGGAATGTTGTATCAACTGGTAGTTATATTTTTAGTTCTTTGAGAAATCTCCATGCTGTTTTTCATAGAAGTGGTACTAATTTACATATCCACCTTTAGTGTATGAGTTCCCTTTTCTCCACATCCTCACCAACATCTGTTGGTTTTTTACTTTTCAATAACTGCCTTTCTGGTTGGTGTGAGATGACACCTCATTGTGGTTTTGATTTGCATTTCTATGATGATTAGTTACATTGAGAAGTTTTACAAATGCTTGTATGCCACTTGTATGTCTTTTTTAGGAAAATGTCTGTTCATATCTTTTGCCTGCTTTTTAATAGGGTTATCTGTTTTACTCTTGTTGAGTTGTCAGATGCAGAGTATGCAAATGTTTTCTCCCATTCTGAAGGTTATCTGTTTGCTCTATTTATTGTTTTATTTTGCTATGCAGAAGCTTTTTAATTTAATCAAATCTCATTTGTTTATATTGCATTTGCCTTTGAGGAATAGGTCATAAATTCTTTGCCTAAGCCAATGTTTAGAAGGCATTTTCCTAGGTTTTCTTCTAGGATGTTCACAGGTCTTACATTTAAGTCTTTAATCCATCTTGAGTTAGTTTTTTATATAGAGATATGGATCCAGATTTTTTTTTTTGTATAAGGCTCTTAAAATGGACCACTTTAAAAAAAAACAAGTTTTCACAGATCCTCAGAGTTAGCATAAATGATTTTTATTATCATCATGTTACATAAATACAAACAAACATAAACAAATTTTCTTATCTTACAACCAAATTAAATCAAAGAATGAAATAATAATAAGAAAACTGAATCTACAATGAGATGCCATTTCTTACCAGTTAGAATAGCTATTAAAAAGTTGATAAATAACAGATGCTGGCTAAATTGCAGAGAAAAAGGAATGCTTATGCACTATTGGTAGAAGGATAAATTAGTCAATCATTCTGGAAGACAGTGTGGCAATTCCTCAAAGACCTAAAAACAGAAATACCATTAGACTCAGCAATCCCATTACTGGGTATATACACTAAGAAATATAAATTGTCCTACCATAAAGTTACATGCACACGTATATTCATTGCAACACTATTCACAATAGCAAATACATGGAATCAACCTAAATGTCCATCAGTCATAGACTGGTTAGGGTCCATTACAAGATGGCCGAATAGGAACAGCTCTGGACTGCATCTCTCAGCATGATTGACACAGAAGATGGGTGATTTTTGCATTTCCAACTGAGGTACCTGGTTCATCTCATTGGGACTGGTTGGGCAGTGGGTGCAGCCCATGGAGGGTGAGCCGAAGCAGGGTGGGGCATCGCCTCACCCAGAATGCACAAGGAGTCGGGGTATTTCCCTTTCCTAGCCAAGGGAAGCCATGACAGACAGTACCTGGAAAAACGGGACACTCCCACCCAAATATTGCACTTTTCCAATGGTCTTAGCAAACGGCACACCAGGAGATTATATCTCCACCTGGCTCGGCAGATCCCAAACCCAAGGAGCCTTGCTTACTGCTAGTGCAGCAGCCTGAGACCAACCTGCGAGGCAGCAGCCTGGCAGGGGCAGGGGCATCCACCAATGCTGAGTCTTGAGTAGGTAAACAAAGCGACCAGGGAAGCTTGAACTGGGCAGAGCCCACCACAGCAGAGCAAGGCCAGCTGCCTCTGTAGTCTCCACATCTGTGGGCAGGGCATAGCTGAACAAAAGGCAGCAGAAACTTCTGTGGACTTAAACGTCCCAGCATGGTGTTTAAGCTCAGAGAATGGACAGACTGCCTCCTCCAGTGGGTCCCTGAACCCCGTGTAACCTAACTGGGAGACACCTCCTAGTAGGGGCCAACTGACACCTCATACAGGCTGGTGCCTATCTGGGACGAAGCTTCCAGAGGAAGGATCAGGCAGCAATATTTGCTGTTCTGCAGCCTTCGCTGTGATACCCAGGCAAACAGGGTCTGGAGTGGACCTCCAGTAAATTCCAACAGACCTGCAGCTGAGGGACCTGACTGTTAAAAGGAAAACTAACAAACAGAAAAGAATACCATCAACATCAACAAGAAGGAAATCCACACTGAAACTCCATCTGTAGGTCACCAACATGAAAGACCAAAGGTAGATAAAACCACAAAGATAGGGAGAAACCAGAGAAGAAAAGCTGAAAATTCTAAAAACCGGAGACCCTCTTCTCCTCTAAAGGATTGCAGCTTCTCACCAACAGTGGAACAAAGCTGGAAGGAGAATGACTTTGATGAGCTGACAGAAGTAGGCTTCAGAAGCTTGGTACTAAGAAACTTCTCCGAGCTAAAGGAGGATGTTCAAACCCATTGCAAGGAAGCTAAAAACCTCGAAAAAATATTAAACAAATGGCTAACTAGAATAAACAGTGTAGATAAGACCTTAAATGACATGATGGAGCTGAAAACCATGGCACAAGAACTACGTGATATACACACAAGCTTCAAGAGCCGATTTGATCAAGTGGAAGGAAGGGTATCAGTGATTGAAGATCAAATTAATGAAATAAAGAGAGAAGAGAAGCATAGAGAAAAAAGAGTAAAAATAAATCAACAAAGCCTCCAAGAAATATGGGACTATGTGAAAAGACCAAATCTATATTTGATTGGTGTACCTGAAAGTGATGGGGAGAATGGAACCAAGTTGGAAAACACTCTTCAGGATATGATCTAGGAGAACTTCCACAACCTAGCAAGGCAGGCCAACATTCAAATTCAGGAAATACAGAGAACACCACAAAGATACTCCTCGAGAAGAGCAACCCCAAGACACATAATTGTCAGATTCACCAAGGTTGAAATCAAGGAGAAAATGTTAAGGGCAGCCAGAGAGAAAGGTTGGGCTACCCACAAAGGGAAGCCCATCAGACTAACAGCAGATCTCTCGGCAGAAACCCTACAAGCCAGAAGAAAGTGGGGGCCAATATTCAACATTCTTAAAGAAAAGAATTTTTAACCCAGAATTTCATATCCAGCCAAACCAAGCTTCATAAGTGAAGGAGAAATAAAATTCTTTACAGACAAGCAAATGCTGAGAGATTTTGTCACCACTAGGCCTGCCTTACAAGAGCTCCTGAAGGAAGCACTAAACATGGAAAGGAACAACCAGTACCAACCACTGCAAAAACATGCCAAATTGTAAAGACCATCGAGGCTATGAAGAAACTGCATCAACTAACAGGCAAAATAAACAGCTAACATCATAATAACAGGATCAAATTCACACACAACAATATTAACCTTAAATGTAAATGGGCCAAATGCCCCAATTAAAAGAGGCAGACTGGCAAATTGGATAACGAGTCAAGACCCATCAGTGTGCTGTATTCAGGAGACCTATCTCATGTGCAGAGACACACATAGGCTCAAAATAAAGGGATGGAGGAAGATCTACCAAGCAAATGGAAAACAAAACAAAAAAAAGCAGGGGCTGCAATCCTAGTCTCTGATAAGACAGACTTTAAACCAACAGAGATCAAAAGAGACAAAGAAGGCCATTACATAATGGTAAAGGGATCAATTCAACAAGAAGAGCTAACTATCCTAAATATATATGCACCCAATACAGGAGCATCCAGCTTCACAAAGCAAGTCCTTAGAGATCTACAAAGAGACTTAGACTCCTGCACAATAATAATGGGAGACTTTAACACCCCACTGTCAATATTAGACAGATCAATAAGACAGAAGGTTAACAAGGATATCCAGGAATTGAACTCAGCTCTGCACCAAGCAGACCTAATAGACATCTACAGAACTCTCCACCCCAAATCAACAGAATATACATTCTTCTCAGCACCACATCGCACTTATTACAAATTGACCACATAGTTGGAAGTAAAGCACTCTTCAGCAAATGTAAAAGAACAGAAATTACAAGAAACTGTCTCTCAGACCACAGTGCAATCAAATTAGAACTCAAGATTAAGAAACTTACTCAAAACCACACAACTACATGGAAACTGAACAACCTGCGTCTCAGTGACTACTGGGTAAATAACAAAATGAAGGCAGAAATAAAGATGTTCTTTGAAAGCAATGAGAACAAAGACACAACGTACCAGAATCTCTGGGACACATTTAAAGCAGTGTGTAGAGGGAAATTTATAGCACTAAATGCCCACAAGAGAAAGCAGGAAAGATCTAAAATCGACACCCTAACATCACAATTAAAAGAACTAGAGAAGCAAGAGCAAACAAATTCAAAAGCTAGCAGAAAGCTCAAAAGAAGACATTTATGCAGCCAAAAAACACATGAAAAAGTGCTCATCATCACTGGCCATCAGAGAAATGCAAATCAAAACCACAATGAGATACCATCTCACACCAGTTAGAATGGCAATCATTAAAAAGTCAGGAAACAACAGGTGCTGGAGAGGATGTGGAGAAATAGGAACACTTTTACACTGTTGGTGGGACTGTAAACTAGTTCAACCATTGTGGAAGTCAGTGTGGCGATTCCTCAGGGATCTAGAACTGGAAATACTATTTGACCCAGCCATCCCATTACTGGGTATATACCCAAAGGACTATAAATCATGCTGCTATAAAGACACATGCACACGTATGTTTATTGCGGCATTATTCACAATAGCAAAGACTTGGAACCAACCCAAATGTCCAACAATGATAGACTGGATTAAGAAAATGTGGCACATATACACCATGGAATACTATGCAGCCATAAAAAATGATGAGTTCATGTCCTTTGTAGGGACATGGATGAAATTAGAAATCATCATTCTCAGTAAACTATCACAAGAACAAAAAACCAAACACCGCATATTCTCACTCATAGGTGGGAATTGAACAATGAGATCACATGGACACAGGAAGGGGAATATCACACTCTGGGGACTGTTGTGGGGTGGGGGGAGGGGGGAGGGATAGCATTGGGAGATATACCTAATGCTAGATGACGAGTTAGTGGGTGCAGTGCACCAGCATGGCACATGTATACATATGTAACTAACCTGCACAATGTGCACATGTACCCTAGAATTTAAAGTATAATAAATAAATAAATAAATAAATAAATATTAGGAAACAATAAAAAAAAAAGCTAGCAGAAGGCAAGAAATAACTAAGATCAGAGCAGAACTGAAGGAAATAGAGACCAAAAAACCCTTCAAAAAATCAATGAATCCAGAAGCTGTTTTTTTTTTAAAGATCAACAAAATTGATAGACCACTAACAAGACTAATAAAGAAGAAAAGAGAGAAGACTCAAATAGACACAATAAAAAATGATAAAGGGGATATCACCACAGATCCCACAGAAATACAAACTACCATCAGAGAATACTATAAACACCTCTATGCAAATAAACTATAAAATCTAGGAGAGATGGATAAATTCCTGGACACATACACCCTCTCAAGACTAAACAAGGAAGAAGTTGAATCTCTGAATAGACCAATAACAGGCTCTGAAATTGAGGCAATAATTAAGAGCCTACCAACCAAAAAAAAAAACTCCAGGACCAGACAGACTCACAGCTGAATTCTACCAGAGTTGCAAAGAGGAGCTGGTACCATTCCTTCTGAAACTATTTCAATCAATGGAAAAAGATGGAATCCTCCCTAAATCATTTTATGAGACCAGCATCATCCTGATACCAAAGCTTGGCAGAGACACAACAAAAAAAGAGAATTTTAGACCAATATCCCTGATCAAAATCGATGTGAAAATCCTCAATAAAATACTGGCAAACTGAACCCAGCAGCACATCAAAAAGCTTATCCACCGCAATCAAGTCGGCTTCATCCCTGGGATACAAGGCTGGTTCAACATAGGTGATCAATATACATAATCCATCACATAAACAGAATGAACAACAAAAACCATATGATTATCTCAATAGATGCAGAAAAGGCCTTTGAAAAAATTCAACAGTCCTTCATGCTAAAAACTCTCAATAAACTAGGTGTTGATGGAACATATCTCAAAATAATAAGAGTTATTTATGACAAACCCATAGCCAATATCATACTGAATGGGCAATAACTGGACGCATTCCCTTTGAAAACTGGCACAAGACAAGGATACCCTCTCTCACCACTCCTATTCAACATAGTGTTGGAAGTTCTGGACAGGGCAATCAGGCAAGAGAAAGAAATAAAGGGTATTCAATTAGGAAAAGAGGAATTCAATTGTCTTTGTTGGCAGATGACATGATTGTATCTTTAGAAAACCCCATTGTCTCAGCCCAAAACCTCCTTAAGCTGATAAGCAACTTCAGCAAAGTCTCAGGATACAAAGTCAATGTGCAGAAATCACAAGCATTCCTATACACCAATAACAGACAAACAGAGAGCCAAATCATGAGTGAACTCCCATTCACAATTGCTAAAAAGAGAATAAAATACCTAGGAATCCAACTTACAAGGGATGTGGAGGACCTCTTCAAGGAGAACTACAAACCACTGCTCAACGAAATAAAAGAGGACACAAACAAATGGAAGAACATTCCATGCTCATGGATAGGAAGAATCAATATCGTGAAAATGGCCATACTGCCCAAGGTAATTTATAGATTCAATGCCATGCCCGTCAAGCTACCAATGACTTTCTTCACAGAATTGGAAAAAACTACTTTAAAGTTCATATAGAACCAAAAGAGAGTCCGCATTGCCAAGACAATCCTAAGCAAAAAGAAAAAAGCTGGAGGCATCATGCTACCTGACTTCAAACTATAATACAGGCTACAGTAACCAAAACAGCATGGTAGTGGTACCAAAACAGAGATATAGACCAATCGGACAGAACGGAGGCCTCAGAAATAACACCACATATGTACAACCATCTGATCCTTGACAAACCTGACAAAAACAAGAAATGGGGAAACGATTCTCTATTTAATAAATGGAGCTGGGAAAACTGGCTAGCCATATGTAGAAAGCTGAAACTGGATCGCTTCCTTACACCTTATACAAAAATTAATTCAAGATGGATTAAAGGCTTAAATGTTAGACCTAAAACCATAAAAACCCTAGAAGAAAACCTAGGCATTACCATTCAGGACATACCCATGGGCAAGGACTTCATGACTAAATCACCAAAAGCAATGGCAACAGAAGCCAAAATTGACAAATGGGATCTAATTAAAATAAAGAGCTTCTGCACAGCAAAGAAACTACCATCAGAGTGAACAGGCAACCTATAGAATGGGAGAAAATTTTTGCAATTTATCCATCTGACAAAGGGCTAATATCCAGAATCTACAAAGAACTTAAACAAATTTACAAGAAAAAAACAAACAGCCCCATCAAAAAGTGGGCAAAGGAAGTGAACAGACACTTCTCAAAAGCAGACATTTATGCAGCCAAGAGACACATGAAGAATTGCTCATCATCACTGGCCATCAGAGAAATGCAAATCAAAACCACAATGAGATACCATCTCACACCAGTTAGAATGTCAATCATTAAAAAGTCAGGAAACAACAGGTACTGGAGAGGATGTGGAGAAATAGGTACGCTTTTACATTGTTGGTGGGAGTGTAAACTAGTTCAACCATTGTGGAGTCAGCGTGGCGATTCCTTAAGGATCTAGAACTAGAAATACCATTTGACCCTGCCGTCCCATTACTGGGTATATACCCAAAAGATTATAAATCATGCTACTATAAAGACACATGCACATGTATGTTTATTGTGGCACTATTAACAATAGCAAAGACTTGGAACCAACCCAAATGTCCATCAATGATAGACTGGGTTAAGAAAATGTGGCATATATACACCGTGGAATACCGTGCAGCCATAAAAAACATTGAGTTCCTGTCCTTTGCAGGGACATGCGTGCAACTGGAAAGCATCATTCTGAGCAAACTATCATAAGGACAGAAAACCAAACACTGCATGTTCTCACTCATAGGTGGGAATTGAACAATGAGCACACTTGGACACAGGGCAGGGAACATCACATCCCGGGTCCTGTCATCGGGTGGGGGGCAGGGGGAGGGATAACATTAGGAGAAACACCTAATATTAATGGCGAGTTAATGGGTGCAGCAAACCAACATGGCACATGTATACCTATGTGACAAACCTGCTTGTTGTGCACATGTACCTTAGACCTTAAAGTATAATTTAAAAAACTAAAAAATAAATCATAGACTGGATAAAGAAAATGTGGTATATATACACCATGCAATACTATGCAGCCATAAAAATGAGTTCATGTCCTTTGCAGGGACATGGATGGAGCTGGAGGCCATTATCCCTAGCAAACTAATACAGGCCAGAAAACCAAATACCTTGTGTTCTCACATGTAAGTGGGAGCTAAATGATGAGAACACACGGACACATAGATGGGAACAACACACAATGGGGCCTATCCGAAGGTGGAGGATGGAGGGTGGGAGGAGGGAGAGGATCAGGAAAAATAAGTAATAGGTATCAGGTTTAATACCTGTGTAACAAAATAATTTGTACAACAAACCCCCATGACAAAAGTTTAATCATATAACAAACTTGCTCATGTACCCCTGAACTCAAAAAAAACCCAATGAAATTTGTATTAGAAAACAAGTAAGATGAAGCATATTGTTTGCCTCACCCTAAATTTTTGACAGTGAACTTAACAAAAGAAATATATATTAATGATTTTTGTCTTTTTACCTGTCATCTTTATTCTTCTGATATTTTGTACATACAGAACTATCATTTGAGTCATTGTTAATGTTGTGTGTATGTGTTGTTTTTCTCTCTTTTTTTTTTTTGTGGTAACAGCATCCTGCTTTTATTTTCAGAATTGCCCTTTCCTCTTTCTGTGTGATCTTAAAGGGACTGTGAATCATAGTGTTTCAAAGCTGCTGCTCATGGGTGCATTAGATAAACTGGATCAATCAGTCTTGCTATTCTGAAAATTTGGCTGTGTAGGAGGTCACAAGGATTAAGTTAGTTAGATTTGAGTGTACATTGTCTTCATTGTTATATGGCAAATACCATATTAATTGCCTTGTGTAAATCTTTGGAACTTTCTTTGTACTTGTACTTGCTGAGGTTTGGTTGCTCAGCTTTTCCTTTTTTCCTCTACTTGTATTTTCATTTCAGAGGTACATGTCCAGATTTGTTACATGGGTAAATTGCATGTTGCTATGGTTTCTCAGATTCTTATTTGATTCTGTGAGAGACCCATTATCCTCACAATAGATTCTTCTTTTGCTTAAGTTAGCCAGAGTTGATTTCTATTATTTTCAACTAAATAACACAAAGTGATCTAGAAACTGGTTCTAAAAAGTAGCTTGTAGGCAACAGAATCTCAAGGAAACTTAGAGTATTTGAAATTGCTTATCTAGCTGAGATGAGGAATAAGATTGTGAGACACCCATTTATATTCCAGCCCATGGCATGCAGTAATAAAATAGCTAGTTAGTTTATTATATGTAGTGACCTAAAACCAAGTACTCACTGAAAGCAAACATCTAGGACATTTGTCATGGAATAATATCTAGAAAATGAGAAACACTGAAACTCCAAAATATTTTGGTTACTTCTTATGGTATGGATGATTTAATGCAAGACAACTAAAATCTTAAATCCTGAGATTTTCACCTCAAAAAAAAAACAATGAATTTCAGAAATTTCAGAGTGTTTTTGTTACTACCTGAAGCTGTAGGGCTGAGATTGCTAACAATCAAACTCCAAGTCAGATTGTGTTAGTTGAATTAAAATACCATTTAAACTATCAATCCTGTTTGTTTTTTTATATAGAAGTTAGAGAATTACTTAGAAAAGATCCTGACAAAAGGAATAGCAATATTTACTTGGCTTTAGAGGACTTAGAAAATTGAAACTTCCCCACCCTCTGATACTTTCCTCACTATGTCTACTTTGGCTGGGGAAGTGGTACCTTATTTGAACTAGAGGTGCACTGACCAAGGAAGAAGGTAGATTGATGTCTACAGAAAAGGCCATCTTGTCTTTTGGGTTGTTAAAAATCTTCTGCTGCAGAGTTAACTTTCAGATGAGCATTTATATGGAACTTGAGTATTCTATGACTCTGAACCTATTTGGAGAAGTTAACCCCCTGACCCTTCCTCAATTAGTCTTATCACCAGTTGTATTCCTTCCAAATCTCTGACTTTTGTGGCCAGACCATTAATCACTGCTTATGAATTAGTGTATATTCTGAACTTAGGTGTTATTTCCTCCTAGGCTAAGTATACAGAATGGCATATTGCTTAAAGCTCTGCCCATTGTGAGGGTTTCTTTTCTTTGTTGGTCTTTCTATTTCCCCTGAGTGGGTGTATGAAGCCACATCTGTCAACTTTTGACAGGCATTATTATGTAGAGCCATATATGTGAAAACAATCTCATCTTAGGTGAACACTTCATAAGGGCATGGATGAAAATCAAGAGAGAGATAACAGTGTGGCCGAAGCAAGTATTCTAAAAAGTGTAAGCAAACTCTGTGTGTCACTTACTTGGGCCTTTAGGGCTTGCTTGGGGTAAGTATCTTATGTAACACCTCCATTTGATAATGGAGTAGTACTTTTTGGCTATGTGGATCTGATTCCATATAATTAATAATGGGTAATTCAGGTCATGTGGTTAGCTGAAGAGCAATATTCAACATTCAGTTTATTCAGTCTTCACCAGAGTTCAGTAGTAAATCAGGATCTGTCTTCCTTTTCAACTGGATACCATTTATTTCTTTCTCTTGCCTAATTTCTCTGGCCTGGACTTCTAGTTCTATGTTGAATAACAGTGGTAACAGTGGCCATCTTTGTCATGTTCCAGATCTTAGAGGAAACACTTTTAATATTTATCCATTCAATACAATAACAATGTTAGCTGTGGGTTTCTTCTATATGACCTTTATTATTTTGAGATGTCTTTTTTTCTATACTCAGTTTGTTGAGAGCTTTTGTCATTAAGAGATGTTAAATTTATATTGAATGCTTTTTTAGCCTGTATTAAAATGATCATATGGTTTTTGTCCTTGGTTCTGTTAACATAATGTATCACATTTATTGGTTTGCATGTGTTCAATCACCTTTGCATCTTGGGGATTAATTCCACTTGATCGTGGCAAATTATTTTTCTAATGTGTTGTTGAATTAAGTTTGCTAGTATCAATTGCAACAAAATCAAAAATTGACAAGTGAGATCTAATTAAACTGAAGAGCTTCCGCACAGCAGAAGAAACTATCTACAGAGTAAACAGACAACCTACAGGATGGGAGAAAACATTTGCAAATAATGCATTTGTTATATAGTTTACATATATAACAAACCTGCATTTGTACCCCTGAACTTAAAAGTTAAAAAAAAGTTTGCTAGTATTTTGCTGAGGATTTTGCATCTATGTTTATAAGTGATATTTATTGGCCTGTTGTTTTCCTTTTTTGTTGCATTCTTGTCTGGTTTTGGTATCAAGATAATGCTGGCATCACAGAGTGAGCTTGGAAGTATTCTCTCCTCTTCACCGTTTTTGAAGAGTTTGAGTAGGCTTGGCATTAGTTATTCTTTAAATGTTTTTAGGATTCAGTGGTAAAGCCATCAGATCCTGGGTTTTTCTTTAATGGAAGACTTTTTATTACAGCTGCAATCTCATTAATCATTATTGGTTTGTTAAGGTTTTCTATTTCTTAATGGTTCCATCTTAGTGTGTCCCGGAATTTATTTCTTTTAGGTTGCCTGATGTGTTGGTATATAGTTGTTCATCACAGTTTCTAATCACTCTTTGTATTCCTGAAGTCACAGTTGTTAGCATTTCTGTGCTATCTTGGAAATCACTGAGTTTCCTTTAAATTGATATTGTAAATTATTGGTCAGAGTTCACATACTGCCATCTCATTAGGGTCAGTCACTTGTCCCTTGTTTTGTTCATTTGGGGAGGTCATGGTTCTTTGTTTCCTGTTGTGTCTTGTGAGTCTACATCTATGTTTTTGCATTGAAGGGTTGATTATTTATACCCATCTTCTGTCTTTTTTTTCGCTTTTCATTGGATATGTTTGTTTAGACATTCTTTGTAATGTATCTGTTGATTTTCTTTTTTTTTCTATATTTTTTTTTCTCTAAGTTGCTTCCTCCTTTTCATAACTAGATGGTGACTTAAGTCCAGGTTTGCCTCAGTTTCAGTAAACAACCATATTGCTGTCCATCCCAAATGGCAGAGTTCTCAAAGGAGATATTCTGGCAGTGTAGGAAGGCTTTTTTGACAAAATGAAGTCTGCACACTTGACATAATGAAATATTTTTTCTGTTATTTTTCTGAAAGAGTGCATAGAGGATAAATTAATTTTGAAGCTTTACATTATGAAAATGTTCTAATTTTTCTTCCATACTTGATAGATAAATTGCCTAGAAATATAAATCTAGGCTACAAATTACTTTATCTCATAATTTTGAAGATATGACTCATCTTCAAGCTTCTAGTCTTGTTGGGAAGTCCTGTGGCACTCTTTTGTTTAACCTAATTTCTGTGGGACATGTGTGAGACAGAAAGAGAATATAAATGTGTACACTTTTAGATTGCTCTTTTAATCCATCGTGTTTTAAGTTTTTGGATACTGTGTATCCCTTGGCATACTTCCTTTTTGAAAAGATCATTGTGCTAAGTAATTGATGAATTCTTTTAATATAAAATTTTAATTACTTTAATCTTATAAATGTTCTTGCATTATTACTTTGATAATTTCTATTCCAGTTACTATGTTGTAACAAACTATTCCAAAATTTAATTGCTTAAAATAAAAATAAAATAAATTTTAATTTTAACCCATTGCAATAAAGCCATAGGTTGTCAAGAATCAGCTTCTCATTTGGAGTCCTTCATGTGGTTACAGTTAAATGGTGACAGGAGATAGGGCTAGAATAATCTAAAACTTTACTGGCTATTTAGGCTCTTTTTTGGTTACATATGAGTTTTAGGATAGTTGTTTGCTAATTCTGTATAAAATGACATTGGAATTTTGATGGAGATAATGTTGAATCTAAAATTACTTTGGACAGTATGGTCATTTTAATGATATTGATTCTTCCAACCCATTAGCATGGAATATTTTTCCATTTATTTGTGTCAACTCTAATTTCTTTCTGAAGTGTTCTGTAGTTCTCCTTGTAGAGATCTTTCACTTCCTTGATTAGCTGCATTCATACATATTTCAATATTTTTGGCTATTTTGAATGGAATTATGTCCTTTACTCTCACTTTGAATGTTATTCATGTATAGAAAGGCTACTGATTTTGAATATTGATTTTGTATCCTGAAACTGTACTGAAGTCGTTTATCAGTTCTAGAAGCCTTTTATTGGAGTATTTAGGGTTTTCCAGTTATAGAATCATATTGTCCATGAAAAGAGATAGTTTGACTTCTTCACTTTCTAGCCGGATACTTTTTATTTTTATTTTTTCCCTTGCCTGATTGCTCTGGCTAGGTCTTCCAGGACTATGTTGAGTAGGGTAGTGAGAGTGGACATTCTTGTTTTGTTCCAGTTCTCAAGGTGAATGGTTTCGGTTTTTGTGCATTTGTGTTGGCTGTGGATTTGTTATAGATGGCTCTTATTATTTTGAGGTATGTTTCCTCGATGTCTAGTCTGTTGAGGGTTTTTATCATAAAGGAAGTTTGGTTTTTATTGAAAGCTTTTTCTGCATCTATTGTGATGATAATATGGCTTTTGCTTGTAATTCTGTTTGTGTGGTGAATCACATTTCTTTTTTTTTTCTTTGATGTTGCAAAGGGACATAAATGGATTGTTCATTGCACCTTTCTTTCTGCAGCCACTTCCAAGGTCCTTTTGTTCTTCATAATGAGACAAAAATAAAAGTTTAATCAATAGGAATGAGCTTGGTTCCAAGATAAGAGTTAACCTTGGATTTGAATGATTCTATTGATTTGGCGTTATGAACCTGAGGCAGGATTTCATCTAAGGATTGGGGTGTACTTTAGTTTAAAATGAGTGCTTCTTAAGTTGTTGGCAAATAGAGTGGAATTGCCAATAAACTTGGCTGACACGGGCTCAAACAATAACTAAGCTCATAGAAAGATAATAACTCAGATAAATACAGGAGTCAGAAAATGTTCCCTTTAAAAAAACCTTTCTACACTGTAATTATCAAAATAAATATCACCAGTTATGAGAAGTGAAGCTAACTAAAATACCTTAAGGACACATGACCTTCACTGTGGAAAATAGGAGCATAGTTTTAATCTTTTCTTTCCCTTAAGAACTATATTCTTCTTTTTACCTACTCTCACTTTCAATTTCTATAATCTAAAACATCAAATTCACCTGCAGGAAAGTCATGTTTTTGACAACTTCTTAACTTCTTAAATAACTTGTTTAAGAGGTTCTGGCCCTGAAACCTTAGACAATGACAGTGGTTAGTTGATTAGGCATGGGGTGTGGAGGGCAGGGGGAAGACGACACAAAACAATTGTAACCTCACGCCCACTCCTCCCTCCCCTTCCCCAATTCCCCGTTTGTCACACCACCCCATTGTAGATCTAGTTCAACCAACGAAATAATCAGCTTATTGCAGAGGGAAGGAAGTTTACTACTGGAAATAATGCAGGTTTGTTTTAAATGTTTTGATGAAGCTCACTGAGGTTTTAATTCAAGTTGATAGTGTATTCTATTTTGTTTTATTTTATTGCCTGCTAGAGGTTAGGGATGCAATGTTGAATAAGATGTGGCCCCTATTCTTAATTTTTTTTATACTCTAAGTTCTAGGGTACATGTGCACAACGTGCAGGTTTGTTACATATGCATACATGTGCCATGTTGGTGTGCTGCGCCCATTAACTCGTCATTTACATTAGGTATATCTCCTAATGCTATCCCTCCCCCCTCCCCCCACCCGACGACAGACCCCGGTGTGTGATGTTCCCCTTCCTGTGTCCAAGTGTTCTCACTGTTCAATTCCCATCTATGAGTGAGAACATACGGTGTTTGGTTTTCTGTCCTTGCGATAGTTTGCTAAGAATACACATTTCTTGATTTGTGTATGATGAACCAGCTTTGCATCCCAGGAATAAAGACTATTTGATCACATTGGATTAGCTTTTTGGTTTGCTGTTGTATTTGGTTTGCTAGTATTTTGTTGAAGATTTTTGCAATTTGCATCTATGTTCATCAGGGATATTGGCCTGAAGTTTTCTTTTTTCGTTATTGCATCTCTCTCAGATTTTGGCATCAGGCTGATGCTGGCTTCATAGAATGAGTTAGGGAAGAGTCCTTTCTCCTCAATTTTTTGGAATGTCTGGTAGAATTCAGCTGTGAATCTATCTGATCAAGGGTTGTTTATGATTGATAAATTTTCTAAATTACTTTTTCAATTTCAGAACTTGTTATTGGTCTTTTCAGGTTCTCATGTTCTCCTGGTACAATCTTGGGAGCTTATGTGTTCTCAGGAATTTATGCATTCCCTCTAGATTTGTAAATTTGTGTGCATAGAGTTGTTGATAACAGTCTCTGAGGACCTTTTGTATTTCTGAATGTTTGGTTGTAATGTCACCTTTGTTGTTCCTGATTAAACTTATCTGGATCTTCTCATGTTTCTCTTTGTTAACCTACCTAGCAGATTACCAACATAGAAAAATAAATTCAAGGTGGATTAATTATTTAAATGTAAGAACACATACTATAAAAACCCTAGAAGAAAACCAAGGAAATAATCTTCTCGACCTCAGCCTTGGCAAAAAAAATTATTGGCTAAGTTCCCAGAAACAATTGCAACAAAAACAAAAATTGACAAGTAGGACTTAATTAAAATAAAGAGCTTCTGTACAGGAAAAGAAACCATCAACAGAGTAAACAGACAACCTATAGAATGGAAAAAATATATTTGCAAGTTATGCATCTGACAAAGGTCTAATATTCAGAATCAATAAGAAACTTAAACAAATCAACAAAATACAACCAAATAGTTTCATTTAAAAAAAGGGGGGGGAAGGACATGAACAAGGACTTTTCAAAAGAAAACATACAAGTGGCAAACAAATGCATGAGAAAAACTCAACATCACTAATCATCAGAGGAATGCAAATGAAAACCACAATGAGATACCTTTTCAAATCATTCAGAGTGGCTACTACTAAAAAGTAAAAAAAAAAATAAGATGTTGGAGAGACTAATGAGAAAAAGGAATAGTTATACACTGTTGGTGAGAATGTAAATTAGTTTGGCCACTGTGGAAAGCAGTTTGAATATTTCTCAAAGAACTTAAAACAGAGCTGTTATTTGACCCAGTAATTATATTAGTGGGTAGATGCCCGAAAGAAAATAAATTGTTCTATCAATAAGAAACATACACTAGTATATTCTTTAGAGCACTATTCACAATAGCAAAGACATGAATCAGCCTAGGTGCCCATCACTGGTGAATTGGATAAAGAAAACATGGTACACAAGGGCTTTGGAATACTATGTAGCCATGAAAAAGAATGAAATAATATTCTTTGCAGCAACATGGATGCAACTGGGGGTCATCATCCTAAGTTAATTAATGCAGGAAAAGAAAATCAATATCATATGTTCTCATTTATAAGTGAGAGATAAACATTGGGTACTCATGGACATAAAGATGGAAACAATAGACACTCTGGACTCCAAGAGGGAATAGGCAGGGAGGGAAGACACGGGTAAAAAAATTAGTTTTTTGGTACTATCCTCACTATGTAAGTGACAGGATCCTTGCCCCAAACCTCAGCATCACACAGTATACCCATGTAAAAAACCTGCACATGTACCCCTTGTACCCAAAAGTTGAAAATATCCTTAAAAATAGTAAATAAATAAATGAATAAATAAAACTTTACTGGCTGACCATCCAGGATGGCTTTTTAATGTACATGTCTGTTATCTGGGCTGGGATAATCAGAATAGCTGAGGGACAAGCAGGCATCTCTTTCCATATGTGGGCTTCCTAATAGCATGATTATTTCAGGATAGTCAGACTGGCTTTCCCCAGAGCACACATTAAGTGTTCCACTAAAAAGAAAGCAGAAGCCACTAATCTTTTAAAATTAGTGGTTTTCAACTGGATGATATTTTGCACCTGAGGATATTTGACAATGTTTAGAGATAACTTTTAGTTGTCACAACTGGAAAGAGAGTGCAACTGATATCTGGTTAGTAGAGGCCAGGTGTGCTGCTAGATACCCTACAATGTAGAGGATAGTCTAATACTGCAAATAATTTTGTTTTTTTTTTTTGAGATGGGGTCTTGCTCTGTTGCCCAGGCTGGAGTGGAGTGGCATGATCTCGGCTCATTGCAAGGTCTGCCTCCCGGGTTCATGCCATTCTCCTGCCTCAGCCTCCCGAGTAGCTGGGACTACAGGCGCATGCCACCATGCCTGGCTGATTTTTTTGAATTTTTTTTAGTAGAGACGGGGTTTCACCATGTTAGCCAGGATGGTCTCGATCTCCTGACCTCATGATTTGCCCACCTCGGCCTCCCAAAGTGCTGGAATTACAGGCATGAGCCACCGCACCCGGCCACTGCAAATAATTTTTTAACCCCAAATGGCCATAGTGCCAAGCTTGAGAAAACCTGTTTTAAAGTCTAGGCCCAAAGAAAAAGAAAGAAAAAGGCATTCAAATTGGAAAAGAGAAAGTCAACCTCTCTTTGCCATTTATATAATCTTATACCCAGAGAACCCTAAAGACAACTCTAAAAGATGCCTAGATCTGATAAATAAATTCAGTAAAGTCTTAGGATACTAAATCAATGTACACAAATCAGTAGTACTGTTATACATCCAACAATAACCAAACTGAGCATCCAATAAAGAACTCAATCCCTTTTATAGTGACTATAAAAAGAATCTGGGAATATACTTAAAGAAGCAGGTTAAAGATCTCTATGAGGAGAACTACAAACCACTGCTGAAAGAAATTATAGATGACACAAGCAGATGGAAATACATCCCATGATCATTAATTGGAAGAATCAGTGTCATAAACATTATGCAAATGACCATATTACCCAAAGCAATCTAGAGATTAAATGCATTTTTTATCAAAATAGCAACAACATTTTTTATAGGATTAGAAAAAAAATTCTAAAATCCATATGGAACCAAAAAAGAACCTTAATAGCCAAAGCAATTCTAAGCAAACTAATACATTTGGAGGCATCACATTACACAACTTCAAATTATACAAGGCTGTAGTAATGGAAACAGCATGGTATAGTGTGACTGACTGCCACGGTTACTACTTGAGACCCTCATTACTGCAGTTACTACTGTTACTACTTGAGACCATCATTACAAGACTGAACAAAGGGGGAAGAATGTAGAAATGAAAACTTAAGACAAAAGTAACTATTTTAAAGGAAAGGTAACATGGGGAAGAAGAAGAAAGAAGAAAAGAAGAAAAGGGCTCCCTGCTTCTACTGAGCAAAGGCAGCCATCTGAGCCTCTACAGCCCTTCATATTTATTGGGTAGAAAGAGCAGGGAGGAGGAGGTAAGGATTGGTCAACAGCTTAATTGATCACAGGTTCACATTATTGCTCACAGGCTTCAATTAAGCCTAATCACAAGAAACACTTGTGCCTGGGTTGTGACTGCCCTCAGCACTCCCCCTGGGCGGCAGACGCAGTTTATCAGTTTGCCAACATCCTGCTTTTATGAGAAACAGTTTGCTGTTTACTCATATAGCCTCCAGTGGTATACTGAGTTGATCACGACCCTCATTCTTACGGCCTTCAACGGTGTGGTATAAAAGTAGATACATAAGTTAATGGAACAGAATAGAGAACCCAGAAATGAAACCAAATATTTACAATCAATTAATCTATGAACAAGCATTAAAAAACATAAATTGAGGAAAGGACATGCTATTGAATAAATGATTCTGGGAAAATTGGATGGGCACATGTTTAAGAATAATACTGGATTTCTCTCTTACTGTATACAAAAATCAACTCAAGATGGAGTAAGCTAAATCTAAGGTTTGAGATTATAAAAACTTTAGAAGAAAATGTATTTAAAAAAAAAACTCTTCTGGACATTGGCCTAGGCAAAGAATTTATGACTAAGACCCCAAAAGCAAATGCAACAGAAATAAATAAACAAATGGGACTTAATTAAACCAAAAAAATTCTTCACAACAACAAAAAATCAGATTAAACAGATAACCTATAGAACAAGATAAAATATTTTCAGATTATATATCTGACAAAGGACTAATATCCAGAATCTACAAGGAACCCAAACAAATCAGCAAGATAAAAGCAAATAATCCTATTAAAAAGTGGCCAAAGGATATGAATAGACATTTCTCAAAAGAAGATACATAGGCAGCTCCCACACATATGGACAGAGCAGTGTGTGGAGACTCATATCATGAACTTTTGTTCCAGAACTACTGCAGGAATAAGCCAGGGAAGCCATAAAATCCCAAAGACCCTCTGAAATAAAGTGGATTGATCCTGCAAGACCCAGGAGACACCACAAATACTGTGAGTGCCCAAGCAGTTAATGTAGGAAAGAGGGATCTTCTGCCCCCGAACACACACTCTCACTGGGAAACTTGAAGGTCTAGGTAATGGGAGAAGATTCTTACCTTATGTGGAACTGAGTCAATTTAGAGAGCCAAGCGAAATACAGGGGTACAGGAAGCAGTGAGAAAAGCCCTGTGGGATTACTGGGTCCCCTAGCAAGCCATTTATGCCTAGTCTCACAGGGGTCCTTTGGGAGGGCTACCAGAGGTACTGGGAAAAAACCACAGGGAGAAGGAAACCTCCAGCTGAACTTTGTAACAATTCCAACTGAACACAGTCTAATGGCCAGAACTCAAGGGAGGGCATGATTTTCAGTGTGCAGACTCCACAGGTGGGGTGGCACAAAAGCCATCTTTACTTTTGCAGCTGGAAGGCTGGTAGCCTGGGGCAAGTTCTAAGCCCTGCTCGCCCACTGCCTGAAAACAGACTCAGTGCTTTTGGGGGAGTATGGTGGGAATGAGACCAGCCTTTTGGGTTGCATGGGAGCTAGGTGAGGGCTGTGACTACTGGGTTTCCCCCACTTCCCTGAAAACTTGCATGACACAGAAGAAGCAGCTATAATCATCCTGGGAACATAAATCTATTGACCTGGGAACCATACCCCAGTCCCCCACAGCAGCTGCAGCAAGACCCACCCAAGAAGAGTCTGAGCTCAGACGCGCCTAGCCCTACCCCCACCTAATGGCCTTTCCCTACACACCCTGGTAGCTGAAGACAAAAGGCATATACTCTTGGGAGTTCTAGGGCACAGCCCACTGCCTGATTCTCCCTATGCTACCACAGCTGAGGCTGTCTTGAAAGTGCCACCTCCTGGCAGGAGGCCAACCAGCCCAAAATTAGTACATTAAACAACCAAAACTAAAGAACCTCACAGAGTCTATTTCAGCCCCCTTCCACTTCCACCAGAGCAGGTGCTGGTATAAATGGCTGAGAGACCTGCAGAGGGCTCACATCACAGGAATCTGTGCAGACAACCCCCAGTACCAGCCTGGAGCCTGGAAGACCTGCTGGGTGGCTAAATCCAGAAGATAGATAACAACCACTACAGCTCAGCTCTGAAAAAGCCATATGCCTAAAAAAGTGGGGAGAGAGTACTACATCAGTGGAACACCCCATGAGACAAAAGAATCTGAAGAGCTACTTGAGTCCTAGATCTTTCCTCTGACATAGCCTTCCCAAATGAGAAAAAAATCAGAAAAACAATTCTGGTAATATGACAAAACAAGATTATTTAAAACCCCCAAAAAATCACCCTAGCTCACCAGCAATGGATCCAAACGAAGATGAAATTTCTGATTTACCTGAAAAAGAATTCAGAAGGTAAGTTATTAAGCTAATCATGAAGGCACCAGAGAAAGGTGAAGCTAAATTTTAAAAATATTAAAAAAAGATACGAGAAACATGGGGAAAAATCTTCAGTGAAATGGATAGCATAAATAAAAAACAATAAAAACTTCAGGAAATTGTGTACACAATTAGAGAAGTGAAAAATGCTCTGGAAACTCTCAGCAATAGAATTGAACAAGCAAAAGAAAGAACTTCAGAGCTCGAAAACAAGGTTTCCAAATTAACCCAATCCGACAAATACAAAGAAAAAATAACAAGAGGGAGGGGCCAACATGGCCAAATAGGAACAGCTCCAGTCTGCAGCTCCCAGTGAGTCCAATGCAGAAGACAGATGATTTATGCATTTCCAACTGAAGTGCCCACTTCATCTAATTGGGACTGGCTAGGCAATGAGTCCAACCCATGGAGGGCAAGCAGAAGCAGGGTGGGGGTGTCGCTTCACCAGAGAAGTGCAAGGGGCCAGGGACCAGCCTTCCCCCAGCCAAGGGAAGCCATGAGGGACTGTGCTACCCAGCTGGATTACTATGCTTTCCCCACGGTATTTGCAATCTGCAGATCAAGAGATTCCCTCATGTGCCTACACCAACAGGGCCCTAGGTTGAAAGCACAAAACTGGGCTGCTGTTTGGGCAGACACCAAGCTAGCCATAGGAGTTTTTTTCATACCCCAGTGGCACCTGGAACCCCAGTGAGACAGAACTGTTCTCTCCCCTGGAAAGGGGGCTGAAGCCAGGGAGCCAAGTGGTCTCGCTCAGTGGGTCCCACTCCCATGGAATGCAGCAAGCTAAGATCCACTAGCTTGAAATTCTTGCTGCCAGCACAGCAGTCTGAAGTCAACGTGGGATGATTGAGCTTTGAGGGGAGATGGGTGTCTGCCATTATTGAGGCTTTAGTAGGCAGTTTTTCCCTGACAATGCTAGGAGACTGAGAGGTCTGGGCTGGGCATGGCAAAGCAGCTATGGCCAGACTGCTTCTCTAGATTTCAGCTCACTGAGCAGGGCATCTTTGAAGGAAAGGTAACAGCCCCAGTCAGGGGCTTACAGACAAAACCCTCATTTCCCTGGGACAGAGTACCTGGGGAAAGGGGTGGCTATGGGTGCAGCTTCAGTGGATTTAATCATTCCTGCCTGCCAGCTCTAAAGAGAGCAGCTGATCCTGACAAGAAGGATTCTCCCAGCACAGCGCACCAGCTCTGTTAAGTGACAGACCACTTCCTCAAGTGGGTCCCTGACCCCCAAGCCTCCTGACTGGGAGAAACCTCCCAACAGGGGTCGACAGATACCTCATACAGGAGAGCTCCGGCTGGCATCAGGCCGGTGCCCCTCTGGGATGAAGCTTCCAGAGGAAGGAGCAGGCAGAAATCTTTGCTGTTCTGCAGCTTCCGCTGGTGATAGCCAGGTGAACAGGGTCTGGAGCGGACTTCCAGAAAACTGCAGCAGACCTGCAGAAGAGGGACCTGGCTGTCAGAAGAAAAACTAACAAACAGAAATCAACAACATCAACATCAACATAAAAGACCCCCACACAAAAAGCTCATCCAAAGGTCATCAGCCTCAAAGATCAAAGGTAGATGACTCCACCAAAATGAGGAAAAAACAGCACAAAATCGATGAAAATTCCAAAAACCAGAATGACTCTTCTCCAAATGATCACAACTGCTCTCCAGCAAGGGCAGAAAACTGGGTGGAGAATGAGACTGACGAATTGACAGAAGTAGGCTCCAGAAGGTGGGTAATAACAAAGTCCTCTGAGCTAAAGAAGTGTGTTCTAACCTAATGCAAGGAAGCTAAGAACCTTGCTAAAAGGTTACAGGAACTGCTAACTAGAATAACCAGTTTAGAGAAGAACATAAATGACTTGATGGAGCTGAAAAACACAGCACGAGAACTTCGTGAAGCATACACAAGTATCAATAACTGAATCAATCAAGTGGAAGAAAGGATATCAGAGATTGAAGATCAACTTGATGAATGAAATAAGGCATGAGACAAGATTATAGAAAAAAGAATGAAATGAACTAACAAAGCCTCCAGGAAATATGGGACTATGTGAAAAGACCAAACCTATGACTGATTGGTGTACCCGAAAGTGACGGGGAGAATGGACCTAAGTTGGAAAACACACTTAAGAATATTACCCAGGAGGACTTCCCTAAACTAGAAAGACAGACCAACGTTCAAATTCAGAAAATACAGAGGACACCACTAAAATACCTCTCAAGAAGAGCAACCCCAAGATACATAATTGTCAGATTACCCAAGGATGAGATGAAGGAAAAAAATGTTAAGAGTAGCCAGACAGAAAAGTTAGGTTACCTACAAAGGGAAGCTCATCAGACTAAAAGCAGATCTCTCTGCAGAAACTTTACAAGCCAGGAGAGAGTGGGGGCCAATATTCAACATTCTTAAAGAAAAGAATTTTCAAGCCAGAATTTCATATCCAGCCAATCTAAGCTTCATAAGGGAAGGAGAAATAAAATCCTTTACAAACAAATGCTGAAGGACTTTATCACCACCAGGTCTGCCTTACAAGAGCTCCTGAAGGAAGCACTAAATATGGAAAGGAAAAACTGGGACCAGCCACTGGAAAAACACACAATATAAAGACCAATGACACTATGAAGAAACTGCATCAACTAATGTGTAAAATAACCAGCTAGCATCATGATGACAGGATCCAATTCACACATAACAATATTAACCTTAAATGTAGATGGGCTAAATGCCCCAATTAAAAGAAACAGACTGGCAAATTAGCTAAAGAGTCAAGACTCATTGGTGTGCTGCTTTCAGGAGACCCATTTCATGCACAAAGACACACACGGACTAAAAATAAAGGGATGGAGGAATATCTACTAAGCAAATGGAAAGCAAAAAAAAGCAGGGGTTGCAATCCTAGTGTCTAATAAAACAGACTTTAAACCAACAAAGACCAAAAAAAGAGAAGAGCATTACATAATGGTAAAGGGATCAATGCAACAAGAAGAGATAACTATTCTAAACATATATGCACCCAATACAGGAGCACCCAAATTCATAAAAGAAGTTCTTAGATACCTACAAAGAGACTTAGACCCCCACACAATAATAGTGGGAGACTTTAACACCACACTGTCAATATTAGACAGATCAACGAGACAGAAAATAAACAAAGATACTCAGGACTTGAACTCAGCTCTAGACCAAGTGGACCTAATAGACATCTACAGTACTCTACATTCCAAATCAACAGAATATACATTCTTCTTAGCACCACATAGCATGTATTTTAAATCAAAAACATAATTGTAAGTAAAACACCCCTCAGCAAATGCACAAGAATGAAAATCATAACAAACAGTCTCTCAGACCACAGTGCAATCAAATTAGAACTCAGGATTAAGAAAATCACTCAAAACTGCACAACTACATGGAAACTGTACAACCTGCTCTTGAATGACTACTGGGTAAATAAAGAAATTAAGGCAGAAATCAAGAAGTTCCTTGAAACCAATGTGAACAAAGAGACAACGTACTAGAAACTCTGGGACACAGCTAAAGCAGTGTTTAGAGTGAAATTTGTAGCACTAAATGCCCACATCAGAAAGGTGGAAAGATCTGAAATTGACACTCGAATATCACAATTAAAAGAACCATAGAAGCAAGAGCAAAAAAATTCAAAAGCTAGCAGAAGACAAGTAATAAGATCAGAGCAGAACTGAAGGAGATAGAGACATGAAAAGCCCTTTAAAAATCGAGACTACCAGCTGGTTTTTTGAAAAGATTAACAAAACAGATGGACCATTAGCTAGACTAATAAAGAAGAAAAGAGAGAAGAATCAAATAGACACAATAAAAAATGATAAAGGGGATATCTATCACCACTGATCCCACAGAAATACAAACTACCATCAGAGAATACTACAAACACGTCTACGCAAATAAACAAGAAAATCTAGAGGAAATGGATAAATTCCTGGACACACACACACCCTCCCAAGACTAAACCAGGAAGAAGTCAAATCCCTGAGTAGACCAATAACAAGTTCTAAAACTGAGGCAGTAATTAATAGCCTACCAACCAAAAAAGGCCCAGGACCAGACGGATTCACAGCAAAATTCTACCAGACATACAAAGAGGGTCTGGTACCATTCCATCTGCAACTATTTCAACAACAGAAAAAGAGGGACTTCTCCTCAACTAATTTTATGAGGCCAGCATCATCCTGATGCCGAAACCTGGCAGAGACACAACAAAAAAATAAAATTTCAGGCCAATATCCCTGATGAACATTGATGCAAAAATCCTCAATAAAATACCAACAAACCAAATCCAGCAGCACATCAAAACGCTTATGCACCACGATCAAGGAGGCTTCATCCCTGTGATGCACAGCTGGTTCAACAAATACAAATCAATAAACTTAATCCATCACATAAAGGACCAATGACAAAAACCACGTGATTATTTAAATACATGCAGAAAAGGCATTTGATAAAATTCAACATCCCATCATGCTAAAAACTCTCAATCAACTAGGTATTGATGGAATGTATCACAAAATATAAGAGCTATTTATGACACACCCATAACCAATATCATACTGAATTGGCAAAGTCTTGAAGCACAAGACAAGGATGCCCTCTCTCACTACTGCTATTCAACATAGTATTGGAAGTTCAGGCCAGGACAATCAGGCAAAAGAAAGAAGCAATGGGTATTCAAATAGGAAGAGAGGAAGTCAAATCGTTTCTGTTTGCAGATGACATGGTTGTATATTAGAAAACCCCATTGTCTCAGCCCAAAATCTCCTTAAGCTGATAAGCAACTTCAGCCAAGTCTCAGGGTACAAAATCAATGTGCAAAAATCACAAGCATTCCTATACACCAAAAATAGACAAACAGTGAGCCAAATCCTGAGTGAACTTCCATTCGCAATTGCTACAAAGAGAATAAAATACCCAGGAATTTAGCTTACAAGGGAGTGAAAGACCTCTTCAAGGAGAAATACAAATTACTGCTCAAGGAAATAAGAGAGGACACAAACAAATGGAAAAATATTTCATGCTCATAGATAGGAGTCAATATCATGAAAATGGCCATACTGCCCAAAGGAATTTATAGATTCAATGCTATCTCCATCAAGCTACCATTGACTTTCTTCACAGAATTAGAAAAAACTACTTTAAATTTCATATGGAACCAAACAAGAGGCCGCATATCCAAGATCAGCTTAAGAAAAAAAGGACAAAGCTGGAGGCGTCACGCTACCAGACTTTATACTACAAGGCTACAGTAACCAAAACCGCAGGGTACTGGAACCAAAACAGTTATATAGATCAATGGAACAGAACAGAGGCCTCAGAAATAACACTACACATCTACAACCATCTGATCTTTGACAAACCTGACAAAAATAAGCAATGGGAAAAGGATTCCCTATTTAATAAATGGTGCTTGAAAACTGGCTGGCCATATCCAGAAAATGGAAACTGGACCCCTTCCTTACACCTTATACAAAAGTTAACTCAAGATGGATTAAACACATAAATGTAAAACCAAAAACCATAAAAACCCTTGAAGAAAACCTAGGCAATATCATTCAAGCACAGGCATGGGGAAAGACTTCATGACTAAAACACCAAAAGTAATTGGAACAAAAGTCAAAATTGACAAATGGGATCTAATAAAACTAAAGAGCTTCTGCACAGCAAAAGAAACTATCATCAGAGTGAACAGGCAACCTACAGAATGGGAGAAAATTTTGCAATCTACTCATCTGACAAAGGTCTAACATCCAGAATCTATAAGGAACTTAAATTTACAAGAAAAAAAACACACAACCCCATCCAAATTGGGCAAAGGATGTGAACAGACACTTCTGAATAGAAGACATTTATGCAGCCAACAAATATATTTTAAAAAGCTCATCATCACTGGTCATTAGAGAAATGCAAATCAAAACCACAATGTAATACCATCTCACACCAGTTAGAATGGTGATCATTAAAAAATCAGGAAACAACAGATGCTGGCAAGGCTATGGAAAAATAGGAATGCTTTTACACTGTTGGTTGGAATGTAAATTAGTTCAAGGCATTGTGGAAGACAGTTTGGTGATTCCTCAAGGATCTAGAACCAGAAATACCATTTGACCCAGCAATCCCATTACTGAGTATATACCCAAAGGATTATAAATCATTCTACTATAAAGACACATGCACACATGTTTATTGCAGCACTATTTACAATAGCAAAGACTAGAAACCAACCCACATGCCCATCAATGATAGACCAGATAAAGAAAATGTGGCACATATACACCATGGAATACTATGCAGCCATAAAAAAAAATGAGTTCATGTCCTTTGCAAGGACATGGTTGATGCTGGAAGCCATCATTCTCAGCAAACTAACACAGGAACAGAAGACCAAACACCACATATTCTCACTCATAAGTGGGAGTTTTACAATGAAAACACGTGGACACAGGGAGGGGAACATTATGCAATGGGGTCTGTTGGGGGATGTGGGGCAAGGGGATGGAGAACATTAGGACAAATACCAAATGCATGCAGTTCTGAAAACCTAGATAACAGGTTGATAGGTGCAGCAAACCCCCATGGCACATGTATACCTATGTAAAAAAACCTGCGCGTTCTGCACTTGTATCCCAGAACTTGAAGTAAAAAAAAGAAAAAAGAAAGAAAGTAGAAAGAATAAGAAAAAATGCACAAAGCCTCCAAAAAGTCTGGGATTATGTTAAATGACCAAACCTAAGAATAATTGGCTTTCCTGAGGAAGAAGAGCAGTCTAAAAGTTTGGAAAACATATTTGGAAAAAAATATAGGAAAACTTACCCAGCCCTGCTAGATACCTAGATAAGCAAATACAAGAAGCTCAAAAACACCTGGGAAATGTATCACACAAAGATCATCACCTAGGCACGTTGTCATCAGGTTATCTAGTGTTAAGATGACGAAAGTAATCTTAAGAGCTTTGAGCCAAAGCACCAGGTAACCTGTAAAAGAAAACCTATCAGATTATTTATTTATCAGCAGAAATTTTACAAGCTAGAAGGGTATCGAGCCCTATCTTAAGCCTCCTTGAACAAAACAATTATTAGCCAAGAATTTTTGTATCCAGCAAAACTAAGCTTCATAAAGGAAGAAAAGATATGGTCATTTTTGAACAAACGCAGAGAATTCACCTCTACCAAGGCAGCACTACAAGAACTGCTAAAATGAGCTCTAAATCTTGAAACAAATCCTGGAAACACATCAAAACAGAACCTCTTTAAAGCATAAATCTGACAGAACTATAAAACAAAAATACAATTAAAAACAGCACCAAGGTATACAGGCAACAAATAGCATGATGAATAAATAGTACGTCACATCTCAATACTAACATTAAATGTAAATGACCTAAATGCTCCACTTAAAAGATACAGACTTGCAGAATAAATATGAATTCACCAACCATCTATCTGCTGCCTTCAAGAGACCCAACTAATACATATGGACTCATATAAACTTAAAGTAAAGGGGTGGAAAAAGACATTCCATGCAAATGGACATCAAAAGCAAGCAAGACTAGCTATTCTTTTTTTTTTTTTTTTGAAGTTTGAATTTTTTTTTATTATTATTATACTTTAAGTTTTAGGGTACATGTGCACAATGTGCAGGTTAGTTACATATGTATACATGTGCCATGCTGGTGTGCTGCACCCATTAACTCGTCATTTAGCATTAGGTATATCTCCTAATGCTAACCCTCCCCCCTCCCCCCACCCCACAACAGTCCCTAGAGTGTGATGTTCCCCTTCCTGTGTCCATGTGTTCTCATTGTTCAATTCCCACCTATGAGTGAGAACATGCGGTGTTTGGTTTTTTTGTCCTTGCGATAGTTTACTGAGAATGACTAGCTATTCTTATATCAGACAAAACAAACTTTAAAGCAATAGCAGTTAAAAAAGAGAGAAATATTATATAATAATAAAAACCCTTATCCAACAGAAAATGTCACAATCCTAAATATATATGCACTTAACATTGGAGCTCCTAAATTTATAAAACAATTACGACTGGACCTAAGAAATGAGATAGACGGCAACACAATAATTGTCAGGGACTTCAGTACTTCATTGACAGCACTAGACACGTCATTGAGACAGAATATCAACAAAAAAAATGGATTTAAACTGTACCCTGAAACAAATGGACTTAACAGATATTTACAGAACATTCTACCAAGCAACCACAGAATACACATTCTATTCATCAGCCCATGGAACTTTCTCCAAGACAGACCATACAATAGACCACAAAACAAGTCTCAATATATTTTAAAAATTGAAATTATATCAAGTACTTTCTCAAACCACAGTGGAATAAAATTGGAAATCAACTCCAAAAGGATCCTTCAAAGCCATGCAAGTATATGAAAATTAAATAACCTGCTCTCAGTTGATCATTGGGTCAACAACGGCAGCAGATCATGAGGTCAGGAGATCGAGACCATCCTGGCTAACACAGTGAAACCCTGTCTCTACTAAAAATGCAAAAAAAATTAGCCAGGCGTGGTGGCAGGCGCCTGTAGTCCCAGCTACTCAGGAGGCTGAGGCAGGAGAATGGCGTGAACCCAGGAGGCGGAGCTTGCAGTGAGCCGAGATCATGCCACTCCACTCCAGCCTGGGCAACAGAGCGAAACTCCATCTCAAAAAAAAAAAAAAGAAAAAAAAGAAATTAAAAAATTCTTCCAACAGAATGACAATAGTGACACAACCTATCAGAACTTCTGGGATACAGCAAATGTGGTGCTAAGAGGAACATATATAGCCCTAAATGCCTACATCAAAAAGTGTGAAAAAGCACAAATAGACAATCTAAGGTCACACCTCAAGGTACTAGAGAAACAAGAACAAACCAAACACAAACCCAGCAGAAGAAAGGAAATAACCAAGATCAGAGCAGTAATAAATGTTGAAACAAACAAAATAAAATACAAAAGGTAAAGGAAACAAAAAGCTGGGTCTTTGAAAAGACAAAGTTGACAGACCATTAGCAAGAGTAACCAGGAAAAGAATAGGGAAAACCCAATTAAGCTCAATTAGAAATGAAACAGAAGGCATTAGAACTGACACCACAGAAATACAAAAGGTTATTTAAGGCTACTATGAACACCTTTACACACGTAAACTAGAAAACCTAGAAAAGATGAATAAATTTCTGAAAAAATACAATTCTCCTACCTTAAATCAGGAAAAATTAGATATCCTGAACAGTCCAATAACAAGCAGCGAGATTGAAATGGTAAGTTAAAAATTATCAGCAAAATAAAGTCCAGAACCAGACGGAATTCTACCAGTCATTCAAAGAATTCACAGCTGAATTCTACTAGCCATTCAAAGAAAATTGGTATCAATCCTGTTGACACTATTCCACAAAATAGACAAAGAGGGAATCCTCCCTAAACCATTCTCTAAAGCCAGTATTACCCTAATACCAAAACCAGGAAAGGACTTAACCAAAAAAGAACACTACAGACCAGTATCCCTGATGAACATAGATGCCAAAATTGCAACAAAATACTAGCTAACCAAATCCAACAACATTAAAAAGATAGTCCATTGTGATCAAGTAGGTTTCATACCAGAGATGCAGGGATGGTATGCAAGTCAATAAATGTGACTTAACATATGCAAGTCAATAAATGTGACACACCTTATAAAGAGAATTAAAAACAAAAATTACATGATCATCTCAATAGACACAGAAAAAGCATTTGACAAAATCCAGCATCCCTTTATGACTAAAACTCTCAGCAAAATCAACATACAAGAGACATACCTCAATGTAGTAAAAGCCATCTATGACAAACCCACAGCCAACATAATACTGAATATGGAAAAGTTGAAAGTATTCCTTCTGAGAAACAGAACATGACAAGGATACCCACTCTCACTACTTCTATTCAACGTAGTACTGGAAGTTTTAGCCAGAGCAATCAGACAAAGGAAATACATAAAGGGCATTCAAATTAGTAAAGAGAAAGTCAAACTCTCGGTGTTTGCTGATGATATGATTGTGTACCTAGAAAACCCTATAGACTCCTCCAGAAAGCTCCTAGAACGGATCAAAGAATTCAGCAAAATTTCAAGATACAAAATTAGTGTACACAAATCAGTAGTTCTCCTATACACTAACAGCAACCAAGTTGAGAATCAAATCAAGAACTCAACCCCTTTTAAAATACCTGAAAAAAAATACTTAGGAATATACCTAACCAAGGAGATGAAAGACCTCTACAAAGAAAACTATAAAACACTGCTGAGAGAAATGATAGACAACATAAATGAATAGAAACATATCCCATGCTCATGAATGGGTAGAATCAATATTGTGAAAATGACCATCCTACCAAAAGCAATCTACAAATTCAACGCAATTCCCATCAAAATATCACCATCATTCTTCACAGAGCAGAAAAAACCATCCTAAAATTCATAGAAAGCCAAAAAAGAGCCCACATAGCCAAAGCAAGACTAAGCAAAAAGAACAAATCTGGAGGCATCACATTATCTGATTTCAAGCTATACTATAAGGCCATAGTCACCAAACAGCATGGTACTGGCATAAAAATAGGAACATAGACCATTGGAACAGAATAGAGAACCCAGAAATAAACCCAAATCCTTACAGCCAACTGATCTTTGTCATAGCAAACAAAAACATAAAGTGGGGAAAGGACACCCTATTCAACAAATGGTGCTGAGATAATCGGCAAGCCACATGTAGGAGAATGAAACTGGATCCTCACCTCTCTCTTTATACAAAAACAAACTTAAGATAGATCAAGGACTTAAATCTATGTCCTGAAACTATAATAATTCTAGAAGATAACATTGGGAAAACCCTTCTAGACATTCGCTTAGGCAACAATTTCATGACCAAGAACCCAAAAGCAAATGCAATAAAAACAAAGATAAATAGCTGGGACTTAATTAAACTAAAGAGCTTTTGCACGTCAAAAGGAACAGTCAGCAGAGTAAACAGACAACCCATAGAGTGGGAGAAAATCTTCACAATCTATACATCTGATAAATGACTAATATCCAGAATCTACAATGAACTCAAACAAATTAGCAAGGAAAAACCCACCAAAAAGTGGGTTAAGGACATGAATAGATAATCTTAAAAGAAGATATACAAATGGCCAACAAACATATTAAAAAATTATCCACATTACTAATGATCAGAGAAATGTAAATCATAACTACAATGCGATACCACCCTACTCCTGCAAGAATGGCCATAATCAAAAAATTAAAAAAAAAAAGATGTTGGCATGGATGTGGTGAGGAGGGAACACTTCTACACTGCTGGTGGGAATGTAAACTAGTGCAGCCACTATGGAAAACAGTATGGAGATTCCGTAAAGAAATAAAAGTAGATCTATCATTTAATCCAGCAATCTCACTACCCAGAGGAAAAGAAGTAATCATACGAAAAAGATACTTGCTCACGCATGTTTACAGCAGCACAATTTGCAATTGCAGAAATGTGGGACCAACCCAAATGCCCATCAATCAGACTGGATAAAGAAACTGTGGTATATATATGCAATGGAATACTACTCAGTCATAAAAAGAAATGAACTAATAGCATTCACAGCAACCTGGGTGGGATTGGAGACTATTATTCTAAGTGAAGAAACTCAGGAATGGAAAAACAAACATTGTATTTTCTCGCTCATAAGTGGGAGCTAAGCTGTGAGGATGCAAAGGCATAAGAATCACACGATGGGCCTTGGGGACTCAAGGGGAAAGGGTGGGAAAAGAGTAAGGGATAAAAGGCTGCAAATTGGGTTCAGTGTATACTGCTCAAGAGATGGGTGCACCAAAATCTCACAAATCACCACTAAAGAACTTACTTATGTAACCAAATACCACCTGTTCCCCAAAAACCTACAAAATTATAAAATCTTAACAAAACACAAAAAGAAGATATATAAATGGCCAACATACATGAAAAAATTCTCAACGTTATTAGTAATCAGGGAAATACAAATTAAAATCCTATTGTGATATCACCTTACCCTAGTCAGAGTGGCCATTTTTAAAAAGTGAAAAACAATAGATATTGGCATAGATATGGTGAAAAAGAAATGCTTATGCACTACCAGTGGGAATGTAAATTAGCAAAATCTTTATGAAAAACAGTATGGAGATTTCTCAAAGAACTAAAAGTAGCTCTACAATTTGATCCAGCAATCCCACTACTGTGTAACTACCCAAAGGAAAAGAAAAAGAAGTCAGTATATCAGAAAGACACCTGCATATGTATGTTTATTGCAGCACAATTTACAACTGTAAAGACATGGAATCAAGCTACTTGCCCATAAGCTGATGAGTGGATAAAAATAATGGAATATAAATATAAGTATAAATATGACTATATATATATTCACACACCATGAAATACTAATCAGTCATAAAAAGAACAAAATAATGTATTTTGCAGCAACTTGGAGCGAAATGGAAGCCATTGTTCTAAGTGAACTAACTTGGGAATTGAAAAGCAGATACCACATGTTCTCACATATAAGTGGGAACTAAGCTATGTGTACACAAAGGCATACAGAATGGCATAATAGACATTGGAGATGCAGAAGGGGTAAGGTTGGGTGGGAGGTGATGAATGAAAAACTAACTATTGGGTAATATGTACACTACTCAGGTGATGGGTGCACTAAAATCCTAACTTTACCATTATACAATTTATCCATGTAACAAAAAATCCGCTTGTAGCTCTAAAGATATTAAAATTAAAAAATTAAGAAAAGCAAATCCATCTTTCATGTTTTTCCTAAAATTATCTTTCTTATATCTTATTATTTCTGGTCATAAAGTAATTTTTTCTTGTTGACCTGGAAAAGTTAAGTAGCAGAGTGCTTCTAATAATAAAGTACAACTTACAAGTTACAGAATGTCAATACTAAATAAAAAATAAAGTCTAGGCCCAGAATTGGCATAGCATCCCTTTTGCCACATTCTATTGGTCAGAGCAGCCATGGGCTGGAAGTTTAGTCTGTAAAGAGTTTTAAACAAAAGGGCTCAGGAGCCAGGCATGTTGCTGCATGCCTATAGTTCCATCTACTCAGGAGGCTGAGGTGAGAGGATTGCCTGAGACCAAAAGTTCAAGGCCAGCCTGGGCAACATAGTGATACTCCATTTCTTAAAAAAGAGAGGGGCTCTGGTCTTAGTGATACCAGTTACAACTAACGATGAAGATAAGGTACTTTTTTGAAAACCTCACAGTAAATTAGTTGAAAGTCTACATACTAATCAGTGAGACTGTGATGGCTAATTTTATATGTCAACTTTAAGGGTGCTTTTGGATGAAATTAAGATTTCAATTTGTGAACTTTGAGTAAGCAGATTGCTCTTCCTAATGTGGGTGGGCTTAATGTAACCACTTGAAAGCCTAAATAAAACAAAAAGATTGAACTCCTGAGCAAGATGAAATTCTCCAGAAGACTTTATCTTCATTTTCAAATTTTACCTGCACATCAACCCTCCAGGGTCTCTGCTTGCCAGCCTTTGGACTGGAACTGCACCAATGGCTCTTCTGGATCTGGTGTCTGTGGACCTACATGGAAGATTTTGACTTGCCAGTCTGTATAGTCACATAAGCCAATTCCTAATAATAAATTTCTTACTATACACACACACACACACACACACACACACACACATCTTTATATAAATACATGTCTTTCTGTGTATACACATATTTCATTGGTTCGATTTCTCTGAAGAAACCTAAGAAATACAGAAGCCAACAGCCTCCTTTTTTACTTGGGTTTTTAGAATATTGGTACTTAAACTTATGCATCTAGACAAGAATTTGGATGATTCCTTCCTAGGGAAACTCAGTAGCTAATGAGAAAAGGCTCATAAAATGACCAAATTCCTACAGAATTTCTCAGGGTGTCATTAGTTGATAAGCTTCACTCAATCAACTTTTTTAGTGCCTCATTCATAAATCTGAGGGTTAAGCATCTTAAATCACACGGTATTTGAGAAAAGACTTTAACATTCAATGCAGAGACAAAAGCAGGCCAAAATTGGGATGGGGTGAGAATATTGGAGGAAATATAGTAGTCCAGGGATAGTAAACTTAAACAAAACTCACAACAGCAACAAGCTGTTGTAAAATTAATACCAGAAGAGAGAGAGAAAAAAGGTTGTATCAAGAAATGGGAACAGCATACTATGAAATAAGGAAAAGTATGGGATAAGAACAAGCTCATGGAAATAAAAAATAAAACAGAAATATATAACTCAATAAATAGGTTGGATAAAAAGTTAAGAAAATATTCCAGAAAGAAGAAAAAAGACCGAGAGAAGCAAAATAGAAAAGAAAAGATTTTTAAAATAGGAAACGAATCCACAAGGTCCAACATCCATCTAGTAGAAGCTGTGGAAACAGAGAATAGAGAAAATGGAAAATTGTGGTAGCTAACACCAAAACATGGCTCCCCAATGAACCATGCCTCCCATATTCATGTCCCTGCCTATTTTCCTCTCCTTGAATTTGGGCTGACCTTTGACTTGCTTTAGGAACAATAAAATGTGACAGAAGTAATATATGTTTTTACAGCCTAGGTCATTAGAAGCCTTGCAATTTGTGCCTGAGTCTTTGCAATACACACTCTGGGGGAAGTCAACCACCATGAAATAAGTTGTGCTATCTAGAGACTACCACGTTGTAAAAAAGACCAAGCTAACTATATGAAACACCATTCCAGTTGAAGTGCTAGACATGTGATTGAGGAAGCCATCTTATTAAATGTCTTCCCAGTCATGCCTTTAGTTGACTCTAGCCCCAGTCATTATATGCCTACAACAATATGAGAAACCTCAAGTGAGAACTTTCCAACTGAGCCCAGTTAACTTACATGTCTGGGTGAGTTAGATACTACATTTTATGAAAGTTGGCAATGCTAATCCCCCACAAATACTACCTTCTTCCAGGTCTCTGTCATACTCTCATCTAGCTACATTACTATTCTTCTACAGAATCAAAAAATTTGTAATTATGTAATTATTTATGTGGTTATAATATTCTGGTTTTCTGTCCTGAATGAGGGCAAAGAATATCCCCATTTTCTTCACTGATGTAACATGAATACCTAATTAACATCCAGTAGGTACTCAATAAATATTTATTGACTGAATAAATTGAATAATCTAAGTTGTAACATTGGAGGGTAACTTGTCTTTTCTCATTAGATTTCTCAGATTATTTTTACAAAGCAAAGTCCAAAATCCTATTGGGAAGAATCCTATTTGGAAGAATTGGGAAGAATGGAAGAGAGGCAGCATAACGTAGTTTGAATACTGGAAATTATGTATTTGCCACTAAAAAACCGATAGGCCTTTGTGTTTTAGCTACCTCATCTATCAAATGAGAATAGTAACAGTACCTGCCTCATGGGGTTGCTATATGTAAATATATTTTTACATGTATGTGTAGTATATGTAAACTGCTTAGAATGGTATCTGGAGCAGAGTAAACACTTTATAGACGTTAAATATGTGAAGAAATTATTTAATGCTTGATTTGAAAGCCTCATCTATATGACAAAAGTAACGATTTAAGCCAATAATACTAAAACATTTCAAAGTCATTCATCTCACTTTAAAATTAATTCTTTCCCTCTCCTATAGAAAACAAAAACACACATAGACTCCCTTCCCCATTATATAACCTGGAACTAAATCTCTAAAATTTTTGTGTTAATTCATTTTATTTAGTAAATTTCACAAAACCTGGAGTGTATAATCCTAGGTGATTAAGGGCATGTTTTAAAATATTTTATTTGTAATAATTATGATTTAAAAGGCATATACTGTCAAGTGAGATATAATAAATCATTGTTTGGGTTATTAAGGGTTATTTAATTTTTAATGTTTAACTCTTTTGAAGAAATAAAATCCATTTTGACTTACACTATTATGTGGCACTTGATATAAATATGTACAGACAACATTCACAAGAAATAACACTTTTTCAAAAAAGATATTTTTTAAACTACTAATAAACAATCAGAATGAACAACGCTAGTTAGATAATATGTGAGAGAAAATGATTATTACTTCATAAAAAATTGGACTTTTGCCCCTTACTATTTTTCATATTAAGGTAGTTAACATAATCTGAAAGACTACTGTATTTCTGAGATGCAAATACAGTATTATTAATAAGAGGTAATAGCCTTAAATTCATGTATTTTAAGATAAAAAGTTAATAATATATTTTGTGTAAGCATCACAGTAGAAACCAATTCTACATTCTTCTTTTTTTGTACTGATCACAATGTTTTATTTAGATTTGTTTTAAGTGTATCTCTGAAATTGGTAAATTAATGTTTTCTACTAAATTTTAACTATATTTACTAATGAAATGGCCCTGTTCTCTTTTTCTGTTCTAAAATTTTATGATATTGGAGTCAAGGCTACATTCCATCATATAAAAGGCCAGGAAGCTTCTATTTTCTATTTTCTGAAAAAATGTGTATGTTAGAAATCAAGTATTTCTTAAAATTATGTTACAATTCACCCATAAAACTATGTGTGTGAGAACCTTTTAAAATGTATTAATTTTTATTTTTTTAAATTTTTATTTTATGTTCAGGGGTACATGTGTAGGTTTGTTATATAGGTAAATTACATGTTACCAGAATTTGGTTTATAGATTATTTCATCACACAGGTAATAAACATAGTATCTAATAGGTAGTTTTTCAATCTTCTTCCTCCTTCAAACCTCCACCCTCAAGTAGGTCCCAGTGTCTATTATTCCCATCTTTGTGAAAATGTGTACGCAATGTTTAGCTCCCACTTATAAGTGAGAATGTGCAGTATTTGCTTTTCTTTTTCTGCACCAGTTAACTTAGGATTATGGCCTCCAACTCCATCCATGTTGATGCTAGGGCATGATCTCACTCTTACATGACTGTGTAGTACTCTATGGTGTATATGTACCACATTTTCTTTATCCAGTCCACTGTTGTTGGGCATTAGTGTTAATTCCATGACTTTGCTATTGTGAGTAGTGCTACAATGAATGTACGTGTGCATTTGTCTTTGTGGTAGAATGATTTATGTTCCTTTGGGTATATATCCAATAATGGAATTGCTGGGTTAAATGTTACTTCTGTTTTAAATTCTTTGAGAAATCACCAAACCGCTTTCCACAGTGGTGGAACTAATTTGCGTTCTCACCAGCAGTGTATAAGAATTCCCTTTGCTCTGTAACCTCACCAGCATCTGTTATTTTTTGACTTTTTAATAATAGCCATTCTGACCGATGTGAGATAGTATTGCACTGTGGTTTTGATTTGCATTTCTCTAATGATTAGTGATGTTCAGCGTTTTTTCATATACCTGGTGGCCATGTGTATGTCTTCTTTTGAAAAGTGTCTGGTCATATTCTTTGTAAACTTTTTAATGGGGTGTTTGTTTTTTGCTTGTATATTTAAGTTTCTTATAAATTCTGACTAGGCCTTTGTCAGATGTGTAATTTACAAATGTTTTCTCCAGTTATGTAGGTAATGTTTTCCCCTCCCATTATGTAGGTTACTGTCTGTTGACAGTTTCTTTTGCTGTGCAGAAGCCATTTAGTTTAATTAGATCCCGTTTGTCAATTTTTGTTTTTGTTGCAATTGCTTTGACATCTTTATCATGGTATCTTTTCAGGGCCTATGTCCAGAATAGTATTTCCTAGGTTATCTTCATGGGTTCTTATAGTTTTAGGTTTTACATTGAAGTCTTTAATTCATCTTGAGTTGATTTTTGTATATGGTGCAAAGATGAGGTCTAACTTCAATCTTTGCATATGGCAACCCAGTTATCTCAGCATAATTTACTGGCTAGGGTGTCCTTTCCTCATTGCTCATTTTTCATGACTATCAAAGATCAGATGGTTGTAGGCTTGTGGCTTTATTTCTGGGTCCTCTATTCTGTTCCATTTGTCTTTGTGTCTGTTTTGGTACCAGCACTATGATTGTTTGGTTACTGTAGCCATGTAGTATAGCTTGAAGTTGGGTAATGTGATGCCTACAGTTTTGTTCTTTTTGCTTAGAATTGACTATTTGAGCTCTTTTTCAGTTTCATATAAATTTTAAAATAGTTTTTTCTAATTCTATGAAGAATGCCATTACTAGTTTTATAGGAATAGCATTAGATATGTAAATTGCTTTGGGCAATATGGTCATTTAAAGATAGTGATTCTTTCTATCCATGAGCATGATATATTTTTCCATTTGATTGTGTCATCTCTTATTTATTTCAGCAGTGTTTTGTAATTCTTGTTGTAGAGATCTTTTATCTTCCTGTTTAGTTATATTCCTAGGTACTTTTCTGTGGCTATTAGGAATGGAATTGTATTTGTATTTGGTTCTCAGCTTGGACATTGTTGGTGCATAGAAATGCTATCGATTTCTATGCATTGATTTTGTATTTTGAAACTTTGCTGAAGGTGTTTATCAGATCTAGGAGCTTTTGGGCAGAGGCTATGGAGTTTTCTAGATATAAAATCATACCATCTACAAACAGAGATAGTTTTACTTGCTTGCTTCCTATTTGTGTGCATTTCATTTTTTTTTTCTCTTGCCTCACTGCTCTGGCTAGGATTTCCAATACTATGTTGAATAGAAGTGGTGAAAGTGGGCATCCTAGTCTTGTTCTGGTTTTCAAGGGGAGTAATTCCAGCTTTTGCCCGTTCAGTATGATTTTGGCTTTGTGTTTGTCATAGATGGCTCACATAAGTTTGAAGCATATTCCTTCAATGCCTAGTGTGTTAAGGTTTGTTAACACAAATAAATGTTGAATATTATCAAATAGCTTTTTTGCATCTATTGAGATGATCATGTTGTTTTTGTTTTTAGTTCTGTTTATGTAGTAAATCACATTTATTGATTTACATATATTGAGCCAAACTTGCACCCCAGGGATAAAGCCTACTTGTTTGTGATGGATTAGCTTTTTGTGTCCTGCTGGATATGGTTTTCTAGTATTTTGTTAAAAAATTTTGCATCTATGTTCATCAAGGATATTGCCCTGAAAGTTTTGTTTGTTTGTTTCCCTGCCAGATTTTGTTTTGAAGATGATGATGGCCTCATAGAATGAGTTAGGGAGGAGTCCCTGTTCCTCAATTTTTTTGGAATAGTTTTTGTAGAAATGGTAGCAACTCTTTATACATCTGGTAGAATTCAGCTGTGAAGCTGTCTGGTCCTTGGCTTCTACTCATTGGTAACCTTTTCATTACTAATTCAATTTCAGACCACGTTATTGGTCTGTTCAGAAATTTAATTTCTTCCTGGTTCAATCTTGGGAGGTTGTATGTTTCCAGAAAAGTATCCATTTCTTCTAGGTTTTCTACTTCTTGTGCATAGAGATGTTCATAATATTCTCTGAGGGATTTTTATATTTCTTTGGAGGTGGTGGTTATTTTAACATTTTCATTTCTGATTGTGCTTATTTAGATTTTTTTCTCCTTTTTTTCTTTATTAGGGCAGCTTGTGGTTTATCAATCATATTTTTTCATAGAGCCAACACCTAAATTTGTTGGTCTTCTGTAACATTTTCCACATCTTAATTTACTTCAGTTCAGCTCTGATTTTGGTTATTTCTTGTCTTCTGCTAGCTTTGGGGTTGGTTTGCTCTTGCTTCTCTGGTTCCTCTAGGTGTAATTTTAAGTTGTTAATTTGAGATCTTTCTGACTTTTCACTGTGGGTGTTTAGCATTCTAAACTTCTCTGTTAACACTGCTTTAGCTGTATCCCAGAAATTCTGGTATGTTTTATCTTTGTTTTCATGCATTTCAAAGAATTCCTTGATTTCTGCCTTTCTTTGTTTATGTACAAGTCATTCAGGAGATGGTTGTTTAATTTTTATGCAATTGTATTGTTTTGAGTGATTTTCTTAGGAATTATTTTTCTTTTTATTGTGCTGTGGTCCAATAGTGTGTTTTTAAAATCATTTTAATTTTTTTGAATTTGCTGAGAATTTTTTTATCGCTGATTCTGTGGTTGATTTTAGAATACATGCTATGTGCAGATAAGAAGAATGTATATCCTGTTGTTTTTGAATGGTGAGTTCTGCAGATGTCTGTTTTGCTAATTTGGTTAAACGTTGAGTTCAGGCCCTGAATACTTTGTCAGTTTTCTGCCTCAGTGATCTATCTAATACTGTTAATGAGGTGTTGAAATCTCCCACTATCATTTAGTGGTTATCTAAATCTCTTCATAGGTCTCTAAGAACCTGCATTATGAATCTGGGTGCTCCTGTGTTGGATGGATATATATTTGGGATAGTTAGGTCTTCTTGTTGAATTGAACCCTTTACCATTATGCAGTGCCCTTTTTTCTTTTCTTTTCTTTTTGATCATTGCCAGTTTAATGTCTGTTTTGCCTGAAATTAGCATAGGGACCCCTGATTTTGTATGTTGTCCATTTGCTTGTTAGATTTTTCTCTATGTCTTTACTTTGAGCCTGTGAGTGTCATTGCATGTGTATGGGGCTCTTGTAAGCAGCAAACAGTTGTGTCTTACTAACCTATTTACCACTCTGTGCCTTTTAATTGGGGAATTTAGCCTGGTTACACTCATGGTTAATATTAATATATTTAGGTTTGGGCTGGGTGTGGTGGCTCACACCTGCAATCCCAGCACTTTGGGAGGCCAAGGCAGGTGGATTGCTTGAGGCCAGGAGTTTGAGACCAGCCTGGTCAACATGGTGAACCCCTGTCTCTATTAAAAATACAAAAATTAGCTGGGCATAGTGGCATGTGCCTGTAATCCCAGCTACTCGGCAGGCTGAGGCACGAGAATCACTTGATCTTGGGAGGCAAAGGTTGCAGTGAGCTGAGAATGCACCACTGCACCCAAGCCTGGATGACAGAGTGAGACTCTGTCTGAAAAATATATACATATGTAGGTTTGATCCTGTCATCGTGTTGTTAGCTGGTTACTAAGGATACTTGATTGTGTGACTGCTATATAGTGCCAGTGGTCTATGTACTGAAGTGTGCATGCATTTCTGGTGGCTGGTAACAATCTTTTTTTTTTTTTTCATATTTAGCATTTCCTTAAGGACCTCTTATAAGACAGGTCTGGTGGTAACAAATGCCCTCAGCATTTTGTTGTCTGAAAAGAATCGTATTTCTCCTTCACTTATAAAGATTAGTTTGGCTGAGCATGAAATTCTTGGTTGGAATTTCTTTTCTTTATGAATGCTTCTGTTTTGTAGAGTTTCCGCTGAAAGATCTTCTATTAGCCTGATGTGGTTTCATTTGCACATGAAAATGCCCCTTTTCTTTAGACGTCTTTAACATTTTTTTCTTTCATTTTGACCTCATAGAATCTTATGACTAGGTGTCTTGTGGATGGCATATGTATAGTATTTTACAGGGGTTCTCTACATTTCCTCAATTTGACTGTCTGTCTCTGTAGCGAGGTTGGGAAAATTTTTATGGGTGATATTCTCAAATATGTTTTAGAAGTTGCTTGCTTTTTTTTCCCTTTCTTTCAGGGAAGCCAATGTGTCATATATTTGGTCTCTTTACAGATTTCCATATTTCTTGGAGGTTTTATTTATTCTTCTTTATTGATTTTTCTTTATTTTTTAAGGCTGTGTTATTTTAATGAATCAGTCTACAAACTCTGAGATTCTTTTCTCAGCTATGTTGATTCTGGTCTTAATATTTATAATTTTATTATGAAATTTTTGAAGTGTGTTTTTCAGCTCTATCAGTTCAGTGTGGTTCTTTCTTAAAATGACCATTTCATCTTTGATTTCCTGTATTATTTTATTGTATCTCTTAAATTCCTTGAATTGAGTTTTGACTTTCTCTTGAATGTTGATGATCTTCATTCCTATCCATATTCTTAATTATATTTATGATATTTCAGCCATTTCACCCTGGTTAAAAGCCATTACTGGGGAACAAGTGTGGCTGTTTGAAGGTAAGAAGAGTCTGAATTTTTGAGTTGCTGGAGTTCTTGTGCTGTTTTTTTCTAATCTACGTGGGCTGATGTCCCTTCCTTTGAAGTGGCTGTCCTTAGGATTTTTTTGTTGTTTATTTATTTTATTTTTTTATGCCCTTCAGTGTTTGATTGTGGCATAGGGTGGGTTCAGTCAACTGGCTTTTATTCTAGCCCAATCCTGGGGCTCAGAGGAGCTCACTCCAATTTCTGCCTCCATGGCCTCATTTTGTTTTTGTGTGTTCTGGTCCATAAGACTTTCTTAATAGGTGCTGCAGTTGGCAGAGTGGTCATATCCCTGCTGGGTTGGCCTTAATCTGCTGTCTGAGTGTTTCTCTGGGGAACACAGGATTGCACCTGCCTGCTGAGTTGAGGCAGATTCAGGCCCACTGGGCTGGAGGCTCTAGTGGGTGTAGCCTGTCTGCCTATGGGAGCTGAGGGTCGGGGGAGTCGTCCACCCTTTTGATCCGGTATTTCCATGGCTGCACCTCTTGGCAAATTTAGGCAGAATTAGTACCACTGGGCTGGAAGCTCTAGCAGGCATGGATTGCCTGGCTATGAGAGTTGGGAAAAACATCTGCTGTCCAGGTGTTTTCTGGGACAATAAGAGGCTTCATCAATGGACTAACTTCTGATAGAAGCAATATCACTGGGCTGGAAAGTCTAGCTGGCATTGCCTGCCTGGCTACCACCATCAGGGGCAGTCAGGGTCATCTGCTGATATGGTTTAAATATGTATCCCCATCCAAATCTCATGTCAAATTGTAATCCCCAGTGTTGGAGGTGGGGCCTGCTGGGAGGTGATTGGATCATGAGGGCAGAGTTCTCATGAATGATTTAATACAATCCTTCCTTGGTACTGTATAGTTAGTGAGTTCCCACGTGATCTTATTGCTTATAAGTGTATAGCACCTCCTCCTGCGCTTCCTCCTGCTCTGGCCATGTAAGATGTTCCTGCTTCCCCTTGGCCTTTTGTCATGATTGGAAGTTTCTTGAGGCCTCCTCAGAAAAAGAAGTTGCTATGCTTCCTATACAGCCCACAAACCATGATCCAATTAAGCCTCTTTTCTTTATAAATTACCCACTGTCAGGTATTTCTTTATAGCAATGTGAGAATGGACTAATGCAGAAAATTGGTACTGAAGACAGAGCATTGCTATAAAGATACTTGAAAATGTGGAGGTGAATTCAGAACTGGGTAATGGGCAGAAGTTAGAAGAGTGTGGAGGGCTCAGAAGAAGACAAGAAGATGAGGGAAAATTTGTAACTTCCTAGAGACTTGTTAAATAGTTGTGACCAAGAAGTTGATAGTGATATGGACAGTGAGTCCAGCCTGAGGAGGTCTCAGATGGAGATGAGGAACTTCTTGGAAACTGGAGCAAAGGTCACTTTTGTTATCCTTTATCAAAGAGCTTTGTTGGATTTTGCCCCTGCCTTAGGGATCTGTGGAACCGTAAACTTGAGAGAGAGATGATTTAGGGTATCTGGTAGAAAAAATTTCTAAGCAGCAAAACGTCTGAGATGTGACCTGGCAGCTTCTAACCACCTGCACTCATATATATGAGCAAATAAATGACCTGAAACTGGAACTTATATTTAAGAGAAAAACAGAGCACAAAAATTTGGAAAATTTGCAGCCTGGCTTTGCAGTAGAAAAGAAAAACCTATTTCCTGGGGAAGAAGTCAAACAGGGTGCAAAAATCTGCCCAAATAAATAGGAGCCAAGTACTGCTAGCCAAGACAATGGACAAAAGACCTTGAAGGCATTTCTGAGAGCTTCATGGCAGCCCCTCCCATCACAGGCCTGGAGGCCTAGGAGAGAAGAATGATTTCCTGGGCCAGGCCCAAGGCCTCACTTCCATGTAGAGCCTCAGGACACTGCTCTCTGCATCCCAGCTGCTTCAGGTCAGCCATGGCTAATAGGGGCACAGGTACAATTTGGGCTACTGTTTCAAAGGGTGCATGCCATAAGCCTCAGCAGCTTCTATGTGTTGCTAAGCCTGTGGGTTCACAAAGTGCAAGAATTGAGGCTGGGAGCTTCCACCTAGATTTCAAAGGACGTATGAAAATGCCAGGATGTCCAGGTAGAAGCCTGCTGCAGGTGTGGAGCCCTCATGGAGAACTTCTAGTAGGGCCATGTGGAGGGAAAATGTGGGGTTGGAGCTCCCACACAGTGTCCCCACTGGGACACTGCCTAGTGGAGCTTTGCAAAGGGGGTCGCCATCCTCCAAACCTCAGAATGGTAGACTCACCAACAGCTTGCAACCTGCACCTGGAAAAGCCCCAGGCACTCAATGGCAGCCCGTGAGAGCAGCTTCTGGGGCTCAACCCTGCAATGCCACAGGGTCAGAGATACCTCAGGCCTAGGGAGCCCACCCCTTACACCAATGGATCTTGGATGTTGGACATGGAGTCAAAAGAAATTATTTTGGAGCTTTAAGATTTAATGACTTCCCTGCTGGGTTTCAGATATGTGTGGGGTCTTTCTTTTTGTTGATTTCTCCCTTTTGAAGAAGAATATTTATCCAATGCCTGTACCCCCATTGTATCTTGAAAGTAACTAATTTGTTTTTTATTTTACAAGCTCATAAGTGGAAGGGGCTTTTCTGGTCTCAGATGAGACTTTGGACTTTTGAGTTAATGTTGGAATGAGTTAAGAGCTTGGGGCATTGTTAAGAAGGCATGATTGTGTTTTTCGATGTGAGAAGCATGTGATATTTGGGAGAGGCCAGAGGCAGAATGGTATGGTTTGGATCTATGTCCCCACCCAAATCTCATGTTAAATTGTAATCCCCAATGTTGGAGGTAGGCCCTGATGGGAGGAGATTGGGCCATGGGGGCAGATTTCCCTCTTTGTACTGTCCTCACGATAGTGAGTGTATTCTCCTGAGATCTGGTTGTTTAAAAGTGTGTGGCATCTCTACTCTCCCTCCTCTTCCTCCTGTCTTAGCCATGTAAGACATACCTGTTTCCCCTTTGCTTTCTGCCATGATTGTAAGTTTCCTGAGGCTTCCCCAGAAGTAGATCCCACCATGCTTCCAGTATAGCATGCAGAATGCAGAACCAAAAGCCAACTACTCATCTTATCTTTATAAATTACTCAGTGTCAGATATTTATTTATAGCAGTGCAAGAAAAAACTAATAAACCCATCCTGACATCAGGATGTTACTTGGGATAATGAGAGGCTATGCCCACTCGCTGAGTTCAGACAGAAGCAAACCACTGGGCTGGAAGCTCTAGCAGGCATTGTCCATCAGACTACTAGTGGAGAGGTTGGGGTCACCTAACCTGCCATTTGGGTGTTTCTGGGGACAACAGGAGGTTGCATCCTCTGGCTGAGTTAACACAGAAGACGGACCACTGGGCTGGAATCTCTAGCAGGCACTGCCTGTGGTGTTACCATTGGCAGTGGTGGGTGGGGTATCTTGCCCAGCCATTCAAATGCTTCCTGGGACAGCAGGTTGCTGTGCCTGTGCTGAGTTTAGGCAGAAGCAGACTGCTAGGATAAAAGCTGGTATCGAACCTTATCTGGCAAGTAGGAGTTAAGCAATCTTTCTGCTCACAGGTCCCATGACTATGTCCTCTGTTGGGGCAATGGTGCCAGTGCTTGTCTACTCTTGGGCCCAAGGCTTGTAGAGGTTCCCTTGAACTTGAAAGTTGCCACCACAAAACATCTGGGCGGCTCTTTGCCTTAGTCTAGAAGGTTGGTGGCAGGGATGAGGGAAGGCCAGGGGATTCTCACTTTTCTTGTCTTGCACAGGTCCTCATGGAGAGTGTGAATCCCCCAGGGAGTTCTCATTCACTCACCCTTTCTTATGTTGGAGAGGCTCTCCTGGCTCCATGTTGAGCCCAGACAGGCTGGTTCCCAGCTTTGCTCCTCTCTGCTTTCTGTGTCTGCTGCCATGATGCATCTCAACATGGTTTCTCAGATAACCAGCATTCTCCTGTAAGCAGGCTATAACATTTATAGCAGATCCATAGAAAGCAAAGGTGTAAACTTATTGTTACCCAGAGAATCATAACCAGAATGAGTGATTTATAGAAAGATTGACTTTTGTTGTGGAGTCCACATAACACATGATCTAGATAAGCCCTCTCCTAAGTATTTACAAAGAACCATGTGAGGAGCTTCTCTCTTGTAAATAGTCCTCTGGAGGATACCAGTTACACTGACTACTCACTTCTGAACAGGAACATGTAATGCCAGATTCTGTGGAAATATATCTCCAATGTGCTATCCTGTAGGATGTTGAAGGGAGGCCAGGGTGGGTTGGGCAGGGTAGGTGAGAGGTGGTCAAGGCAGTTGAGGCAGTGGTGGTGGAGCCTGAGGTGACCAAGGTGGAGGCAATCATGTCTCTGTATTCTTAAAAAGTATTCTCACACGAGTAATTTGGCTACTGCCTGGCTTAGATTTAATTTAATTATAGCACAGGAGGCTCTAAACCAGAGCTGACTTGGTGTACTTTGTTTCTTATACGTTGAACAACTTGTTCTAACAGTTCTGCTTTTAAATTTTAGAAAATTGCTGCAATAATATATTCAAAAAATAATTTTTTAGGACCAATAAATTACTGTTTGAGGATTATCAAAACCTGATTTTTAAAAATGATGTCAAGATTTAATTGTGATCTCAGTAGGTCATTAATAATGCCTATTATATTATGGTTCATAAGATTAGACTTCAGGTCTGACTTGCACTTGCTCTGTATCTTCTTTTTTCAGGCCATATTAAACATGGGTTTTTAAAACAAAGATTAATGATAACCAGTATAGAACATTTTAAACATTATTGGAGGAAACATTAACAGCAGGCCTTTTTTATGTAGTAGAAATGCCCCAGAAGAATTACATTTAATGGTTCTTTTTTTAAGGAACAATAAACGATAAACAGAATCATACTTTCGCATCTAATTACAATATGACTTCTGAGGTTATTCCCATTAGAAAACTGTTGACTCTGAGGAATGCCTCCCTACCAGACAAAATAAAGCTTAGGGGTAAACACTTTATAGTGTCACCAGAAAATTTTAGATTAAAACTTCAGCAGTATATACTCAGAAAATCAATTATTGTCTAAGTCAGCATTATATGTTACTGAAAACTTATGTTGCAAATGAGACAATTAAAAAAATATGTCTCATATTACTAAAGAGGCACCAAAAGTCCTTTTTCAACAACTTTTCCGTGTGGTGCTCCTTATAGATTTTTTGGTACCATTGGCTATTTCTCTCCAACCTTGGTAAAGAGTGTTCTACTACAGTAGATTTGTAATGTACATTCACTTTCACTTACAGTGATGGTGTACTGTTTTTATAAATTACCACCACTCCTACCCCACTCTTCCCTCCACATCTTGCAGTTGCTGAGGCTTTTAGGAGAGAAACTGTGTGAGGCAATGTTTGGATGGTAAAGGGAAAGTAGAATCCAATTAAACATCAAGAGACAAAATAAGACCTGAGGAAGAAAGGTTACTTTTGTAATAATATAGTATGAAGAAATGACCCTGTTTTAGTATATTACAGTATTCTTGCTATATAAGGGCTTTATCATGTAGTTAAAATAACATTGCACAGGGAAGCTGACTACCCTCCTTCTGTAGAAAGCAAGCTTTCACATGAAAACTCAAGATAATCCATTACCACAGTTCTGCTAGAAACCTGGAATATGTTTCTAAAGAGGAAGCCAAGATCGTTATTTTCATTTCGCATTGATAACGAATGGCATCAAGGTGTTTAAGAGACTAGTTTCTCTGTTGAATGTTATATGAATCCATTCTCTGTGGTTGCACAATGTGGCTAGGAAGCAGGGGATCCAAGCAAGGTGCCTAGAAGTTCAACCTGATCTTTGGGGTTGGTTTTGATAACTGTAGCATTGTACAAAGTTTGAGAGAGGGTGTAAAATGGTAAAGGACTTGCCAGCCCAGGAAAAAGTAGAGTCAGAGGTCTGTGTTTCGAAAGTTAGACCTCTTGCATTTTGCGTATTTCCTTTTTTATTCTTAATATTGTGAAGTCTTTTTAAAGCCAGGACAATTAGGCAAGAAAAATAAAGTCATCAAAATTGGACAGGAAGAAGTAAAACTATCTCCACAGATGTCATAATTGTAAAATAGAAAACCTTGAAAATTCCACAAAATGCCTATTACAGCTAATAAACAAGTTCAGCCAAATTGCAGAATACAAGATTAGTATACAAAAATCAGTTGCATTTCTATACCCTCCCAATGAATGATTCAAAATGGAAATTAAGAATTTCACTTACACCAGCAAAGATTAATAGGAATAAATTTAACCAAGGAAGTGGTGGGAGTCTTGTACACCAAAAAATACAAATTATTGCTGAAAGAAATGAAAGAGAACCTAAATAAACGGAAAGACATACTGTGTTCATGGATTGGAAGATTTAGTATTGTTAAAATGGCAATATTCCCCAAGTGGATCTGCATATTAATTGCAACCCCAGTCAAAACACCAACTGCTCCCTGCCTTGTTTTTGCAGAAATGGACAAGCTAATCCTAAAATTTATGTGGAATTGCAAGAGACCTGAAGTAATGAGCAAAGTTGGAGAACTGACACTTCTGATGTCAAACTTACTGTAATACTACAGTAATCAAAATTTTTGTACTGACAAAGATTGACATGGGTCAATGTTGCAAAATTCAGGGTCCAGAAATAAACCCATACATCTGTGGTTTATTGATTTTGACACAGGTGCCAAGGCCATTGAATGGGGAAAGAATAGTGTTTTTCAATAAATGATACTTGGGCAAATGGATAGCCAAATGTAAATGAGTGAAAATTGATCCCTACTTCACTTCATATACAAAAATTAACACAAAATGTACCAAAGACCTAAATGTATGAGAAAAAAGTATACAACTCTTAGAAGAAAACATATGTGTACATCTTAGTAACCCAGGGTTTGACAAAATTCTTAGATATACCACCAAAAATATAAGCTATAAAAGAAAAAAATGAATTGATCATAAAAATTAAAAATTTGTGTATCAAAGGACACTATCAAGAAAACGAAAACCACAGAATGGGAGAAAAATATTGCAAATCATATATCTGACAAGGGACTTGTATGTAAAAGATATACATATCTTAGAACTCAATGCTAAAGAGACAACCCAATTAAATAATGGAAAATGATTTGCATAGACATTTCTCCAAAGAAGATATACAAATGACCAACCAGCACATCAGAAGATGCTCAACATCATTAGAGAAATACAAATCAAGATCATATGATTTGCATCACCTCCAAATCACCCTACTAGAATGGCTGTAATAAAAAACATGCAATAAGTGTTAGCAAGGACGTGGAGAAATTAGAACACTCATAAATTTCTAGTAGAAATATAAAATGCTGAAGCCACTTTGGAAAAGTCCAAAAGTTCCTCAAAAATTTATGCATAGAACTATTATAAGATCCAATAGCTTCACTCCTAGATATATACTCAGAAGAAATGAGAAAATACATCCACAAAAAAAACTTGCACAATAATGTTCACAGCATTATTGTTTATAATTGAAAAAACATGGAGAAAACCCAAATGCCCATCAACAAACATAATGTGGTATATTAACAGAATATTATTCAGGCATTAGAAGAAATAAAGTACAGTAAGTCCTCACTTAACATCGTTGACAGATTTTTAGAAACTGTAATTTTAAGTTAAGCGACACATAAGGAAACCAATTTTACCAACAGGCTAATTGAAATAGATAAGAGTTAAGTTCCTACCAAATATTTCTGGTTACAGCATCACCAAACTTCTAAAGACTAAAATACTTCTAATATTAAACACTGAAATAAATATAAGCTATGCATAGAATTAAGAACAATAAGAACAAGATAATTATTTACATGCTTATTCCAGTTTACAGTAGTGGATCGCTGCAGCCTATTTTAGCAGCTCAGAAGGCAAGGCGGGAACCCATCCTAGACAGGACTCCAGTCCATCACAGGGAACACACACACACACACACACACACACACACACACACACTCATACTGGGATCATTTAGGCATGCCAGTTAACCTAAAATGCACTTCTTTGGGATGTACGAGGAAACTGAACTACCTGGAGAAAACTCATGAAGACATGGTGAGAACTTGCAAACTCCACAAACAGTGGCCCCAGCTGGGAATCTATTTTCTCATCAAAATTATAACCAAACAGCATTGAACAAAATTGAGACCTGCTGTAATGATACAAATTACAATGGAGATTGACCTGAAAACGTTTTGCTAAGTTAAAGAAGCCAGATACCAAAGGCCACACACATATTATGTGATTCCATTTATAATAAATGTTCAGAATAGGCAAATCCATAGAGATAGAAGGCAGATTAGTGGTTGCCAAGGGATGGAGGTGGGGGATAAGTTGGGCGAAAATGGGAAGAGACTGCTAATTGGTGCTTTGTTTCTTATTTGGGTGATAAAAATTCTCTGGAATTAAACAGTGGACACAACATTGTGAATATACTGACAACCATTGAATTATATACTTTATTTTTATTATAATTAAAATGGTGAATTTTACTTTATATTAATTTTATGTCAGTGAATATTAAATATTTTCATGAATAACACAATAGAAAAAAATTAAGCACAATATTTCACTAGCTATATTTTTGAAGATATAACAAAACACAATCATCGTCAGAGTCTTTTTATTAAGATAAATCCAGTAAAATTTGTGTATTCACATATAATCAAAACTGCCCTTCTGAAATAAACATTTGTATTTATTTTAAAAATGGGAATACAATTTCATTTTTCCCAAGCTAATAATAAAGTTATATTTGGGAAAGATAAGTTTAACTCTTAACATTACATGAAAATAGTTCACCTTCTTTATAAAAGCAACCTGCAGAACAAGAATGTTGGATGAAACTCTTTTTTTGGGATCCCTCACTTTATGAAATTATCACATGTATAAAAGAGTAAAATTAAAATTCAAAGATTTGACATATAACTTACACAACACGAAATTCACTCACAAAGTTGAAAGCATATTTTTTTCTATGTATTCCACTACTATAATCACAAAATTTATAGATAAATGTTTCATGTTAGAAACTTTATGGCTAATAATCAATATGAAGATGTTCTGAAATTAAATCAATGCTAAAGAAAGGCTGTGTTTATAAAATTTTTGATAAAAATATTTATCTCTATTAACTTTACAACATGAAGGTACATGTTACCAAATTATGAAACTACATAGGGCAGTTTTAAACAATACTCTGTGGCTCCTCTTTTTTTCCATCATCTTCTTTGATCTCATCTTCCTCTTTTCCTTCTTCCTCTTCTTTTAAATCTTCTTTCTCTTTTCCAGCTTCTTCCTCATTTCCACCTTCATCTTCTTTTCCATCTTCTCTCTCTTTTTCATCTTCTTTGACTTTTACATCTTTCCCCTCTTTTTTATCTCCCTTCTCTTTTCCATCTTCATTCTCTTTTCCATCTCCTGTTTCTTTTCTGTCTTCTTCCTCTTTTTCATCTTCTCCTTTCTCTTTTCCATCTTCTCCATTTCCTTTTCCGTCTTCACCTTTTTTTCCATCTTCTTTCTCTTTTGCATCTTCTCCTTTCTCATTTCCATTTTTATCCTCTTTTCCATCTTCTTCCCCTTTTTCATCTTTGTCTTCTTTTCCAGCTTCCCCTTTCTCTTCGTTTTGATCTTCTTCATCTTCTTTCTGATCTTCTTCTTCATTTTTTACTTCTGCTGCCACTGCTTCTTTCTTTTCTCCTCCCTTTTCTGTGGCATCTTCAATATTTTCTTCTTTTACTTCCACAATTTCTTTTTCAGAAGCTGGTGCCTGTAAGTATAGTGAAAAGAAAAACAAGATTCTGTCTGTAAATTTAGAACCATTTCCCCTAAATATTTACACTGGATTATATCTATTTCACAGAAAGACTAATACTTCATTTAAAGAAAGTAATTTTCCTGTGAAAGAAGCCTGCTAAATATCACATTATGAGAAAACATTCTAAGAAATGAGATTAACTAAAATATGTCCACGGAAATATCTACAAATAGATATTTGAAACAATAAATACAGAAACACTTATAAATACTTTTTATTTCAAATATGAAGAAGCACAAAGTAAATACTTAAAGGATGACATATATTTATTCTGTATCAGCAATTCTTAATGAGGACTATGCATGTAAACAAAATATAGTCCTTGGAAAATAACATATTTTGTTTCTATAATAATGATATTTTTTATGTAAAAATTACTTGAAAAGTACTGTACCAGATATTATAAGATAACTTACAAAAGATTTTCCATATTTGCATATGTTTGGTTTATAGATTTGGTGGCTACACCCATTTTCAGTGTTTTATTACAATACCTAAAAATGTTGTATGCATTAAATATGCAAAATAAGATTAAAAACATTTATATAATGATTTGCTTTGCCATCCACAGAGGAAATAAAAGAATCATAAATTCTGGAAAAGGGATTTACAAATAGCCTGTGTGCTGATAAAAGGAATAAAGATTGGCTTGTATTTAATAAGAAGGTTGTTATGTTAGTACTAAGTCATAATCATTGGCATTGTTCTAGTAACAGCAATGCTAAGCCACTGCTCGCACTACTGGTCCCTCTAAATTCTCATATTTTAAGTTAATTTTATTTTCCTCTTAGATACCATTATACTATAGAACCACTGCTCACTTAATTTTTTTCCAACTTATAAACTAAAAGGCAAATAGGATTTCTTTCAGTTGTACCCATTGTTAAACTTTCAAATAGATAAAACTGTTAACATTAGAAAATACCTCTGTAATTTTGGCTTCTCCATTTTTAGCATTTTCATTGTAGTCTTCTTCAACAACTGCTTCTTGCTTGGTTTCAGCAACTGCTTGGGCACTTGTATCTATGTTTTCTTCCATCATATCACTTTTTGTCTTCATTTTCTGCCAAGCAATATAAAACAATGAAAGTAAATATACAATTTAACTGCTGTGTTGATTAAATGGTCACAATTATTTTACCAGCTGTTGTAATAATTTATGCAAACTCTTTAAAGTATCACATATAAATCTGGTATCAACAAAATTATCATATAATATCTTCATTGTAAATTTCATTGTAAGCCTAAAGCAGGATTAAAAATGAACAATGTTCCCTTGATATAAACAAAATAAATTTCCTTTTAAGTTGAGTGATATAGATGAGAGGCAACCAGTTAGAATGCTGACTAGTTGCTGCCAAGGACAAACTGCTGGCATCAGGTTAGACTGATCAATTAATTCCCTCTGTCTAGAGAGGGTCAGTTTATTTCTGTCAAGTCTAATTAATAAGGAACAGGGTTTTGTTGATCGTTACGCCTCCATTGGTAATAATTAAGAGAAATGCTGTTAGTGAGAACAACAATTTAGATATATTTTTAAAAGACCTTATGGTGATGTAAGTGTTTCAATCTTTGTATCTACAAGTTTGGAATGCCCTGATTCATGACGACTTCACCAAGAAAATTTTTGCCTACCTGTGTATGTAATAGAAAGACCACTGGATTGAGGGGCCGGAAAACCTGTGTTTGAATTCTAGATCTGCCACTTATGTGATGTGATCTTGAGCAAAGGCATAAGTATCTTTGAGGCTGTTATTTTCATATATAAAAAGAGAGTAATACCACCCACCTCACGGGGATGTTACAAGGAGAAAATGAGAAAACACATGAAAAAAATGCTTTAGAAACTGTAATTTGTAATTTAGATATAAGTTATTACTCTTTTAACACATGAGAAACAGAGCCAAGGAGGGTAAAGTCTATGGTTATATAGTATATGTTTTAGTCTAGCCCTATTTTTCTTTTCTTTTCTTTTTTTTCCGTTTTTTTTTTTTTTTTTGAGACAGGGACTCCCTCTGTCGCCCAGGCTGGAGTGAGGCAATCTCTGCTCACTGCAACCTCCTCCTCCCAGGCTCAAGCAATCCTCCCACAACAGCCTCCCAAGCAGCTGGGACTACAGGCATGCCCGGCTAATTTTTGTATTTTCTGTGGTGATGGTGATTTTCTATGTTGCCCAGGCTGGTCTCAAACTCCTACGTTCAAGCAATCTGCCCATCTCAACCTTCCAGAGTACTCAGATTACAGGTGTAAGCCACCACGTCTGGCCTTACTTTTCTTTTTAAAAGAAAATATGCTGTATTTACTGTTTTAAAAACTAGTAAGTTGAATATTTAACCTTATATAATAGTGGACTTGAAAAGTAAAATGCAGAAAAAAAAACCTTCTTTTCTTTTGTCACCATTAAATATATCAATTATTACTAAAACTTCAATTTCCCTAAGTTTAGCAATATTTTTTAATAAAGGATTTCATTTATGAACATAATGACAGTTTATACTTTCTTCAACTACAAAGTGATAGGATTAGATGCTCTCTAATGTTTCTCATAGCTTTAACCTTTTATGATTTCAGGAATTCAATCAATATTCTTATGTATTAAGCAATTAGCAGTAAACTAAATATTGAGATTATATCTATTTCTACATGCCTTTAGCCATAACACCAGAGTATATAAGTCCATACAAAATCAATTGTGTCCATTTAAAATTAACATATGCAAATACATCTTACATATATTATATATATAATTATATATAATCTTATATACTTTGCCAACTGTAAAATATTATCAAATGTTAGTTACTACTTTTATTACAAAGCACAACTTTGGGGTTACTACTGTTTTCACCTTTTGTTTTCCCAGGGAAACAGTATTGTCACTATATGATAGCAAAGGCATGTACATTTAATGGGCCTATCCAACTGAAATTGTTTTGTCTCTACCCAGTGAAAATGTCAAAACACTGTGGACAATCACAAAACAGAACAAATAATCCCCACCCAAGGGGTTTACATGTATCATATGATAGAATATAATATATTACTAACTGAACAAAATATAAGCAAAGTAAAATGATCAGCTGTATGCCATTTCAAAAATTATTTTTGAAAAAAAAAGCAAATTTATTTCAATATTCTACGTTGAATATTTACCCTTGAACTTGATGTTCTTTTAGGCTTCACCTCTGGTGTAACTGGCACAAGCATCTGCTTCAAGTTGTGGGAAAAGAAAAGAAAAGGAAAAAAATCATATTTGAAGAAAGAACGCTAAAAATGAAATCCAACCTCTGAATTAAAATAAATGAGTATTAGGAAAAAAAATACATTTCCTTGGTGTGAAAGTTTTTCTTAAAACTTCAAAAATAAATCGTGTATTGAATATTTTAGGATTCCCTAAATTTTAAAATGACGTTTCACAATACATGGGCTGCTTTTTGAAAAGATTACTTACAGCAGACAACCTGGCAGATCTTCTCTTTGGCTATAAGTTAAAAACAAAAATCTGTTAAGAGAATTATGGATACAAAAAGCTAGAATTATTTTTATTGAGGTCAAAATATTTGGTGTAACAATACATAAATATTGTCATTAAGTAATTGTGAATTTGGTTAGAAAATACAAGAGAAATATAAGTTTTGATTTTTCCGTCCTCTGAACACTTTACATACTAAGGAAAAAGTCCCAAATTAAGCTTAAGCAGCTAGGCTAAATTAACACAGTAGCTAGTAACAAGGAGCACATTTAGAAATGAAAATATAGCCTTTTCTTGCCAAATGACAAAGCAATTATTTTGCTTAAAAGGAAGAAGTTCTCTCCACATCTGAACAAGCACAATAAGGTCTTAAATTCGAAGAAGCTTGCAGTTTTTAATACTTACTATATATACATTTTTTTCACACTCAGTATATTTTTATTGTGCATTAATTAGATTAAAATTAATAATATGCATTGACCAAAATATTAGATTAACAAGGCCATAAAGGTAAACTGAGAGGTTTCTTTAATATAATTGTCGCACAACAATGATTCTCGCTTTGTAGGACATATAGAAGATGGCATACTCTAGGAGTTAGAACAATATATATTTAATGCAATAACAAAAACTATATAGTACTTTAAGAAATGTTTCACATATGTGAACAGTCATTTAGAGCCTCAACTTTCTAAAGTAAGCAACATGTAAGCCTGTAAAGTACACACACCAAATCATAGTCTAACCCACAAAACACCCAAATAAAATATTAGCACATCTCTATTGTCAAGAATATTTCCGTACCATCATTTCTATAAAAAAAAGTGAAAAAGCCTTTTCTTTTATTCTGAATGGCAATTTTAAAAAGTCCTCTCTTCTGAAATTCGGATATATATTTTTGAGAGATCCCACTGGTATACCATATTGGAACTCATATTGTACAAATATACCAACCAGCATCTATTTTTTAGCTGCTTATGTCAAGTTTATAAAACGAGTGGTTTTTCCTAATAGATGCTAAGACTAAAGAAACTCACCTCCTGCCTCATATCACCTTGACCTGCAGCCTACACAGAGGAGAAAACCACACAGAAATAAGGTCATTGATATAAACACATAAATCAGAAAATACTGCCTGCGGATTACAAATTTCAATATAATTGCTTATTACTTTCTCCTGGGTTCCTGCTCAAGTAGACACGTGTTGTTTCTTAGGAACCATGCTACATACTGCTGTTTTACTAATGTGCACCAAGATGCAAGTGCATGCACAAGACATACTTTTACACAATTGATAGTTAATTTCATCCTTTTGTGTAAATTGCATCTCCTAAAAGCAAACCTTTGTAATTTTGAAATCCACCTGCTTTAGATAATGTAAAAGCCAAAAATGTGGGGGTGGGTCAAATGAAGGCGGAGCTTCATGCAATTTCGCTTTCTTGCCTTATGTTTGCCATGCAATTGTACCTATCTTATCCTCTCCACTGATTCTGGACTATTTTCTCCAAGTTTTGCATGCAAGAATTACAGCCCCCACAGTGTTTTCTTGGGGAGACCTCTTTGTTACAAAGTCAATGCTTTATTCTAAGAAACTGGCCGCCGATTTTAAAACTTCCCGCCACTACCTGCTTTAAGGTTGCTGTCAGCTCTGGAAAACAGCAAGACCTACTGCACAAGTATAGAAAAGCACAGTGGCGGGAATCTCAGGAAGGGGGGATGGTGATTAGAAACAGTTGTTTTCCATATCTGAGCAGCCCTTTAGCCTGAGAATTATCAAGCTATTGCACGATTCAGACAGCCACAGAGCACGGGGGAATTTCAGTATTATTCCTATGTTTTAGGAATAAGGAAGGCGGAGTTGTTTATAGGAATAATCCAAAAACAATCATAATGTCTTAGCATAGTGTTATACGGTTTTACCAAGCAATGAAACAGCGTTCGATTTCACTTCTAGGGGACTAAGAAAAAAACGCCGAGCGTGAACTTGTTTCCTGTCTGCGAGGAGCCAGGAATTGTGAAGTGAGGGTTTGCAGAAGACCTGTGGAGCTCGAAAGGCTCAGATCAATTCTGCACTACTAAAGTGAACAAATCCATGCTACCCCAACATCAGCAAGTTTATCCGACGCTGTCTCCTTATAATCTTCCCATCTTTAGCTAAAGAGCTTGGAAAGGTCCAGCTTTCTCACCCCTAAAGTTTCTAATTACAGCGGTGAATCTCTGTTCTCTAGGACAGTTTGAAGTCTGCGCCGCCTAATGGCACAGGATTACCATTGCATAGCCATCTGGCCTGACAAGAAGTGGAGGAGGAGGGAAGGAAAAAAAAAAAAGAAAAAAGAAAACGGGAAGAACAAAGGCAAATACAGGAGAAAGCCATGGCTTTCGTTCCCCAGACGGGACGGTTCCCCGAGAAAAGCCGGTGGCAGAGGAGGAAACTGAAGTATGGTTGGGAGAAGTGTTCTCCAATAGGGTAAGCGGAGGAAGGGGGTTGGGGTAGGAAGCGACAGCCCAGCGCTATGGCTGTTTGTAATTCAGCATGGAGACACCTTTCAAGAGATTCTCTCCTTAAACAGAACACTCCAAAAGTGAACTACCAGTTGCATGCAAGACCATCCTAAACCTTACACCGACTGCTCTTTGCCCTTCTACCCCTTTCCGTTTCATTACATCACAAAATGGAAGAAGCCAAAAAGCTTTAAAAAAAACCAAACAAACAAATAAATTCTTCCTATTAGGAAATAGGTAACTCAGCAGCTCATTCCCCGTCTGTCTTTCCATTTCACTTACCTTTCTTTTGGGCATTGTTGTAGCTCTCTATAGGAGATCTTAGTCAGCAGAAAAAAAGCCGAAGGCAGTCACTGCCTGACTGCTCCAAGAGCAAATGAGTTTTCAATGAACTAACTGCAGCACGACCTGTACTCTCCTCTGGAAAAAAAAAAAATCCCTCGTTATTGGCAACATTAAACACGCCAAGACGCAACCAAACTACGTGAATGGTTAACCGGAGTGGGAGCCACATTGGAGTGACAGGCTCTCAGGCCAATAAGAAGAGGCAGCCGGCTTTGAGGGGCGTGGCCCGCGAACTTGCCCGAAGCCCTCGTTCCCTGTCGGCTCTAACCGCTGGTGTAGTGGCGGAGCACGCGAACTTAGCAAGGGCTAAGCGATCAGGAATAAGAACAGCAGGAAAGCCAGAGCTGACTTGATCAGTTTTTTTTTCTTTTATGTTATAATGACAGGCGAAAGCCACAACAGTTGCTTTCTTCACAGCCTCCAAACCCGCCACCCTTCCCTATTCCTAGCGGGATAAGTGCTTTTAAGACCAGTTGAGTCTGGGCTCCGGTCTTTCCCTGCCACCTTTGGCGGGATGGTGTTGAACCGACAAGAACATTCATTCAGAAAGCGCAAAAGAGTGGAGATGTTTCTCTGGTGTGGGAACATCCTGCCAAAGCAGAACTGTGGTGCTGGCAAGAGGAGGGTGCCAAAATGGCGTGTTTTCCGCAGGTGTAGAGTAGCGACAAAACCGGGAGCTATACCGTTATCCCACTTGGAGGAGGTATACGAAGAATTCAGCGGGACTCCGAGGGAAATGTGTAATAGCAGAGGTCTATCCAAATGAAAAACACTGAGAATAGATTTTTAATCTGAAGGTTGCATTTAGTGAAAGGACTCAAGAAGGTGCTATCCACGAAAGTGTTTAGGACTCAGAACCTAGACTAGCATAAAGCCATTGAGGTACTCGCCTCAGGCACAAAATTTAAGCTTGTGACAAAAACCCAGGAGACTAGGATGAGGCGAGTGAGGTGAGTCACGCAAGTGCAGGGTATGATCCTGTCTTTATTTAAATTTTTGATATTTTGTTCATCATGGACTTTTTTGCAAGAATTTTGATATTTAAAAAGATTGTCTAAAAATATTAAGTATCTTCATTACTGAGTTTCTAGGCGGCCCTTTAAAATTTTTGCCAAAGGAGAATGTCTCCATAGCGTCACTCTAGTCCCAGCCATATTTAGGTGACTTTCGACTGTAAGAGAGGCTTATAGGTGCCTTTCAGTGTCAGTTTCTGAGACCTAAAGTTTTCAGGGTTGAGGTGGAGATTGATGAATAAATTACTTGGGAATAAATATGATTAAAATAGAGGATCTAATTCCCCACCGCCCTTTCTCAGAGGCGCCTTGATGTGGTTGTTGTAAGAGCTACCTGTGTATAAAAGTGCTCCCAAACAACAACCCAAATCCTTATCCTGGAGGGTTAATCAAAAAAGAAATTTAACCTTTTGAACAGTTACTTTAGGAAGAATTCATTTGTGTTTATGTAGGTTAAAAAATTTGGAATAATCAGTTTAAGAGATAAACACTGTATCTGCTACAGAGTGCCAAACCATCCCTTCAAGCAAAAATACAGCCTAACAGAATAACCCATTGTAATTATTATATTTACTATTGCTATATTATTTTTATTTTGTTATATATTTATATCATTATTATTATTATTATTGCCCATTCTTCCCCAGCACTGATAGTATGGAATTACATAGATCAGGTAGAATGAGCCTGCGTGACTGCTGCTCAGTTTCCTTCCCCCAACTTCATACTGCATTCTAATTCAAGTAAGTAAATCAGAAAGATATTTAAATTGCTTCCTTCGTCCACAGTTATTGGGATAATCCCTAGATGTTCCTGATGTCACTTTTTGCCCTTATGGTAAAAGCATTCCTGGGTGAACTTAAATATGTTTCAATCATTTTATTCTCCAACAGTTAGAAGATAAGCATAAAAATTGATTTTAATATAAGGATTGCCTCATAAGGATAAGAAGAAAAATGAAGGGAATGAAAATGTGTCAGCAGTGGAATGCATCCATTCAACAAATTCTTATTTAGCATTATTTTGTGAGTCGGATTTTGTTTTTGTAGACTAGCTTATGAAAATGCGAAACCCTGTAGCATGCAAAGTTGCATTACACAGCTTCTGTCTTTAAGGAATTTTATAATTTTGTAGGATTGAGCAAACAGATGCATACCTATTTACAAATCAAAGCTGATTGTATTATCTGAATGGTGCAATCTAAATTCAATAATAAAACAGGAGGGAAGGATCTTTTAGGACTAAGGTAACTTGGCAAAGGGTTTGATTGAGGAAGTGGAATTTGGCTTGCCTGTGAACAGTTCGGTAGACTGTTACATTACAGCAAATGCAGCGGCAGGAAAAGGTTGTACTTGTTCAGGGAACATAGTGCCTAGTCCAAGTGGATTGAAACAAATTATCTTGAGGAGCCTTGGAAGGTAAAGCTTAGAGAAGCAAAGCATAATGTGCAGGTCAGTGAGCTCTAAAACTCCTCTTAAATTTGTCAGCAATTTTCTTTTTTGGCCAGTTTTTTCTTCTTGAAGGCTAACGTGTTGCAACTGTGATTTATATCTTATTAAATTGAAAAAATAGTCATGCATGCAAAAGAACATTTTCTAAGTGTGAAACATTCTTCTGTTTCTTGACCCCAATCCCCCATTTCCTCATGTTCTTCCTTCTAACCATTAACCAGAGCGGTCCTTTACATTAGCAAACCTGTTTAGGCTCTTTGCCTTTGCAGTATTATTACCTCTGACTGCAGCCCCATTCTCAAATATCTTCACCTATCAAATGTTTACCAAACTGTTTAGACCCAATCCAAATATCACCTCTTTGACAAAAGCCTTCTTCAATTATTTTAGCCCTAAGAAATTCTTCCCTGCTGTTATACTATACAATTTAGATTGTACTACTCATAGGACACAAGCAAGCTTGATTTTTCCTTTTTTTCCCAACCACTCCATCAAACTTCTTCAAATTGGGTCAAACTTGTATATACTTATTTCCTTTTGCCTAAATATTTACTCAGCACATCACACTCTACATACCTTCTGTAGAATTTACTACTTTTCCAATATATTTTTCTAAAATTGATAAATTATTCCAGAGTAAAAAGGTTATTTTTGTGTAATTGTCAAAGTGAGACTTTTTACTGGACTATTTTTTTCTAAGATTACGTTGGCTTGTTTCTCTTTTTAATTTATTAATGACTAGGAAAATTGATTGCCTGACAATTCTCCACAGAATTCCCTAATTTTACCTGGCTATTAAGCATGCCTACTACCACTCCCAAAATTTACAGGAACTGTAACGTGTCCATTTAGTAACCAGTTAAAAATGACACAGGAAGATATGAAAATTTATGGATTAAAGGCACCAACATTAAGATATATTGACAGAGAATCCAAAAGAAAATATTATGTATTTATGAGAAAAGGAATGCTAAACAGCCAAGATAAAACAGGTCTTCAAATGTTCTGTATATTCATAGTTTAAAATTATATATATATATGATTAATTAAAAGCATTCTAGATACACTACTTTGCATGCAATGGGATCTCAAAAATACTGATTGACTAGTAAGAAATACTTTATTTTCTCTGTTAAAATATCTCTAATTTTGACCTCATGCAACACCATTATTATTCCTGTTGTATTTTAATAAAATAAAAAATTGGAAAACTATATACTATTGTCAGCAAATAATGCAAGAATTCTATCATATTATTAGAATACAGTGTTTTAGATTTTTTTTGTTGGTATTTTCAGAGGGTAAAATAAATCCAAGTCTACAGTGAGCCAAATACATCAATACACTTATTTCTGAGCCTTGTTTAAGATTGATATCAGAAATTTATTTGAATTGATGATGCCACTTAGCTGAGACTGACTCTGGAAAAACTGTAATTCTGGTGACCCAAATCTTCCTATGTCCTATGTTTATTTGCAGCAGGCCAAAGACTAATAAAATACTGAATTAAAGAGTAGCCACTGATATGACAGATAGATTATTTTTCCAGTGGTAAAAGTAAATTGAGCTGCTTTCTAGGGGTAAAAGGAATATAATACATTTTATGTTTCTATTTGTAAAATTTCTACCGACTTTTAAAGTAACAATTTAAAAGAATGCTATTTTTAGGCTTTCAGACATTCAAGTTTAGCAGATACTAATAGAGATTTTCTAGTTTCAATACCCTTGGAATACAGATGAATAAACACAAGCCCAGAGAGCTTAAATGACTTGCGAAAGATCATCTATTAAAATTTAAGCAGTTGGCTGGGTGTGGTGGCTCGCGTCTGTAATCCCAGCTCTTTGGGACGCTGAGGCGGGTGGATCACCTGAGGTGAAGAGTTCGAGATCAACATGGCCAACATGGTGAAACCCCATCTCTACCAAAAATACAAAAATTAGCGGGGTGTGGTGGTGGATGCCTGTAATCTCAGCTACTTGGGAGGCTGCGGCAGGAGAATCGCTTGAACCTGGGAGGCAGAGGTTGCAATGAGCCGAGATCATGCCACTGCACTCCAGCCTGGGTGACAGAGCAAGACGCAGTCTCAAAAAAAAAAAAAAAAAAAAAAAATCAGGCAGTTTTTTTCACTTTTTTACTAAAAATTTTATCTACGGTTGTGATATCAGCAATTACACAGTTTATACAGAAATGTTAATGACTAAATGACACATTTGGTAAACACGAATTATGTTCCATCTCAATGACCTTAAAACTCAAGATGAAACTCTGGCTGTCAACCTACTTCAGATATATCTTTTTACTGATTCATTGGATCCTCACTCATCTATGATCTTAAACTTGTATTCTCTAGTCAGTTTTCTATACCTCAAGAAAGTAGAAAATTCAGAAGAGAAAAACTACTTTTTACCTTATTCCTTTATTTGTTTTTTGGTCTAAAGTAAGTCTGGTGAATGTGAGTTTTTAATCTTGAACGTCCAAATGCTTGCCCATGTTTTCTTCTTTCCCTTGCCAGCAAAGAGGTTTTCAGATAAAAATTGCGGATGAGATTCATTATTGGTTAAATGTTATTTGAAGATTTCTAACATCCAGTAGGTGTCATCATTTACTTGAAAAGAGTTTCAAACTTTCTTACTTTATAAGATTTCAGCTTCCCTTAAATTTATTTATATACATAGTTATTGTTTAAAATTAAAAGATTAATTGTATATATTAAGATGTACAACATGATGTTTTGATATACATATAATGAAATGATTACTACGGTCAAGCAAGTCAACATATTCAACAACAAAAAAATTATTGTTTTGTGGTAAGAGCACCTAATATCTACTCTCTTAGAAAATTTCTAGGGTATTTACTAAATCCTATCTATTGAACTTAATTTATACTTTTGGTATAGTTGATATCTATGTTTTTTTGCATGAAATAGACTTTTAAAATCTTAATATGATAGGAACGTTTAACCTTCATCCTCAACTTATAGAAGCACAGATATTAATTCATAGCTTTTAAAATATGGAAATGTAGATTGTGACACTTCTAAAGTTTTGCGGCTATTGTGGCACATTGAAAAAATGACATCTTTAGTTTAAAGCAATTATATTTTCACTTTGTTTATTTTAATTGGCCTTAATGTTCAGGCTTTTTCTCCTTAGAAAGTTCACTAATGCTGGTTACTCTTACAAAAAGAAATGAAACAAGAATTCAAGAACTGATAAATGCCCCAGGCTGCCTATATGAGACAAGAGCCTATTTTCAAGAATAGATCAGTTTTCGGTGTAGTCCAACTGTTCACTAGTGAGGGTTGATTAGAAATAATCACCCTTCATGAGAGAATAGTGGTGACCTGTCAAATAGGTTGTGTGTTAGAAACCAACATCTTTATTAAGAAAAATATTCAATTTAGTAAACTGATGGCATTTTAACCAAAAGCTAAAGTTAAATGCGATTTTTTAGATGTCTGTAACAATTGATTTTCTTCAGTTTGTGTTATGCTAGGATTTTTTTTTTCCTTTTCCTGTTTTGGGCTTTATCCATTCACTTAGAGCCTTACTTATCATTTTATAACAAGCTTCATATAACCTACGAATTGTTTCGTTTTGTTGTAAATTATTTGAAACACATGGGCCATCAACTGGAGCTTGCTTTAACTTAGACACATTTAAGGTGAGATAAAATGATGTTAAAACTAGTTGTCTTTAATCCTCAAAGTGTAGATATGAACACTCTGATGAAGTAGCAGAGCTCAAGTAGATTTTCTTGTATGGGGAATTGGCAATCTTTGCTATTGCTAACATTAACTGTATAGTCCTTTAAGAGGATAAAAGGACAAATGGCTCTTCAACAAAGGTATTAAATTTTAAAATGCTCTAGAATGCACAGCAAAGCTAGAGTACAGGAAGGAAGAAAGAAAGGGAGATTCACTAAGGAGGAATCGTTAAAATTTATGTCTTAAGAGTCATATTTGGAGGCATCATATATATGTGTGTGTGTGTGTCTGTCTGTGTGTGTGTGTTCTTACCTTCTAAGGACATGGTGACATTCTCACATTTACTTGTTTTTCAAGGAATCATTCTTTTTTGTTTGTTTATTTCTATCCGTTTTTTATTCAGTCTATGCTCACTTCCTTTGTTAAACAATAGCTGACATGCTTCAATCATTTACACCTACTCAAAACCTAAAAAGATTATATTTTATATTGAAATGAGTAACAATTCAAGCAAATGGACATGCTCAATTCTCACAAATTTTAATGACGATAGTATAAATCCACATTTACATATTTTCATTATTTCCAATAAACTAAGCATATCTTTGGAACTCCTTCCCTTGGTTTCAGGGTTAAATTGCCTAAGTGGAAATAAGATAATATTTTTAAAAATATGCTCTCTAAATAGTTTACTTGTTGGAATATATATATTGTTTAGTCTACTTCATATACAGACACATGATCAATTCATGTTTAAGGGAAAATATAATTACTCCTTCAGTTTCCTATTTGTTTTTATGTTCTAGTTTACTTCTAAATTTATTGTAAGATTGGATACCATTTAGCACTTAATTTCTTCTGAATAAGGCCCACACTGGAGATAAAAAAGGTAATAAAATATATATGGTTCATGCTTTTTTGGTTTGTGAGATGGGTTTTGCTCTGTGAAAAATATTAATATTTGTATAGCTCTTGAAAACAGAAACATTGTTTTGTGAGTTTATGCTAATTTTTGTCAATAAATGTAGCATTCTATTGTATTTGGTTATCTTAATTTCATCTTTAAAATAACTGTGGTAAGATTAATGTCTTGAATATTAATTTTTGCTTTGTTTACATTTTAAGAGCTTACTCAAGTCTTCGTTTCTTCCAGGCAGCCAACTGCTAATGACCATTTGAAAATTACACTGGCTAGGTTCTTGAAATTTGTAGAACTTATTTATTAGAGAAGAGACTCCAAAGAGTAGGAGAGAGAAAAAGAGCCATATTGAAGGAACTTTGAACTTTCCAGAAAGCAGAGGAGGTGACATGATGTGTGATGGAAAAAAGTACCTATTTGCACATAGTGTCCCAGACTATAAAGTGGCTGTGGGACGCCAAATCAGAAAATAGGAATAGTGGAAGAGGGTCATCTCTGAGAATGATTGGGAAAGAAGTACTTCAGAGACAGGTGGCAAGAACTGGCACTGGAGAGCAGCACCAATTTATACTCTGACACAGAAGCATGCTCACTTTGACATTACAGCATTTGGTACCTGAAAAATTATTCATTTTTAAAAATTGAATAGATTGAAATGGCTTTTTTTGATTTGCATATCTTTAATTACGAGTGAAGCTGAACATTTTTTCATATGTTTGATGACCATTTGTATTTCCTGTCTGTGAATTTTTCGACCATATCCTTTCTTTTTCTACTGGATTTTCTCTTTCATTCTTTCAGCTCTTAATAGTGATATTTTTTTCTAGAGAGAAGACTTAAGCTTTTATGTAGTCTTATTATTTTCCTTTATTACTTCTGGTTGTGTTTTCCTTTAGAAGAGTTTCTCTATTCCACAGGTATAAACAAATCCATTTACACTTCTCTTTATAAATTATATAGTTTGACATTTTATAGTTAAATATTTGTTCAGTCCTCTGGAATTTATTTTGGTTTCAGGAGTGAGTGGGGGATACAGCCTTATTTTTTTGAAAATATAAGCCAGTGTCTTGGCGGCATAGAACTTACCATCTTCAGGTAACGAAGTTGAGGCTAGAGCAGTTAAACAACTCACCTAAAGTTTCTAAGTGAGTTATTAGCAAAGTAGAGACTAGAAATCTGGTCTCCTACTTAAACTTTTGGCCTGTAATTTTTCCAACAAAGTACGCTGACTCATTGTCACCTTCTCTACTTAATTAAGTACTTTCCTGGCTTGACAGCATTCTGATTTACTCTAACCCAGTAGAAATTAGATGAAAAAACTTTTTAAATTTAAACAATTATCTCCTTGCCACCAGGAAAGTATGAATTAGAAAATGATTTATTTCCTTGTATAGGGAAGATTTATACCAGGAACTTTGGAGAGAGAGACCAGGTGTGCTTTAAACTGGTGGTTGGCATAAGTCTGGAAGGTAATGATCATAATGCTATCATGAGAGAGGGTTGGAGTAAGAATGGTAACAAAGTAAGAGGGGAGAACTGGACTTCTTTATATTTTTCTCTTAGGCTAGACCTCACAGAATTACTAGTTGTATGTAATTAGTAAGATATGCTTTAAATTAATAATAACAGCTTGCACTTATCAGGATCTTACCATGTATAAAGTACTTTGTTAGGCTTCATATGAATTATCTCTGGTCCTCAGTATACAGATGATAAAGCTAGTAATTGTTGAGTAAGAATTCAAACTCAGAACAGTTTGATTCCAGAGCCTCTGCTCTCTTAATTAAACTTCAGTTCTTTCAACCTTTATTTCTTTTCAGTAATTCTGCTTTTGAATCTTAGATCAGAAATCTATTATTATAAGAAAACTCAGCATATAAAATTTTGCTAATGTAATTAATCAAATAGAGAATTAATTATGCTTGGTTTCCTGTCTTGTAGTTTTAAATTTTCAGTTCTCCCTGAGATACCCTGCCATCGTGCCTCCAACTGAGAAATAGCTACTAGATCAATGCTTGTAGAACGTAATTATCCTGACCACAGTTGTAATTCATATGCATTAATTCCACAAATATTAATTGAGCACTACAAGGGTCCAACCTCTGTATCAGGCTCTAAGGATACAAAGATTTGACTCTGATTCTTGAGAAGCTCACACTCTAATAAAAATAAGTGTGCTTATAAAAATTACACTGTAATCTGAAATGTGATATAAATGAGATATGTGAAAAACATTATGGGGACCAGAGGGAGAACCAACTAAAACTGTCTGAAAGTTGGGTCAGGGAAGAACTTACTCATGAGGCAAAGACAAACAAGAGAGATGGATGAGCATTCTAAGTAAAGGAATTACTAATAATACCATAATTTTTACCCATCCTCAAAAAGTAATATTTTTGAGAACACAGATTTTGTGTGCTAAGTATTTATTTTTCTTAGTACACAAGAAAACAAATACATAACTATTAAAACATTTGCCAGTGTGTCCCCGCAAATTTTCTTGTGGACCACCAATGGTAGTGTATCCACACATTGAGAAGCATTGCTCTATTAGCAATACTGGCATTATTCCCAGGGCTCAGTGCAGCTGTGTGGGTTTTTTATATAACTGGACATTTGCTGTCCATTTAGGCTATGTCTTTCTTAGGCAGTGGTGAATGGATGACATTTCGTTTTTCTTTCTTGACTACAGAGAAGTGGAACACTGCATTGAGTATAGTCAGGTGAACCCCTGCAAAGGACCTGTGTGGGGATTGAAAAGGACTTTATGAGTATCCAGGATGAATAGAAAATATGACCTTGCAGCTTCCATTTTAGGCAAACAAGGGCAGATATGAATCATTCAGCTGATCTGTGGAATAATTTAGCCTCCTTGCTTAAAATGTTGACAAGACTGGCGAATATATGGCATATGTACCATCATGTGTATGTCACATAATTTCACTGACATATGAAAAATTAAAATTATCTTTATCCCTTCGTGTTAAAAACTCTCAATAAGCTAAGTATTGAATGAACTTACCTCAAAGAATAAGAAACATATATGACAAACTCACAGCCTACATCACACTGAATGGACAAAAGCTGGAATTATTCCCCTTGAAAACTGGCACAAGACAAAGATGCCCCATCTCACCACTCCTATTCAACATAGTATTAGAAGTTCTGGCCAAGGCAATCAGGCAAGAGAAAGAAATAAAGGGCATTCAAATAGGAAGAGAGGAAGTCAAACTATCCTTGTTTGCAGGTGACATGATTCTATCTCTCAAAAACCCCATCATCTCAGCCAAAAAGCTACTTAAACTGATAAGCAACTTCAGCAAAGTCTCAGGATGCAAAATCAATGTGCAAAAATCGCTAGCATTATTATACACCAACAACAGTCAAGCCAAGACCTGTCATGAATAAACTTTCATTTACAGTTGCCACAAAAACAACAAAATACCTAGGACTAGAGCAAACTGGGGAGGTGAAAGATCTTTACAAGGAGAACTACAAACCACTGCTCAAAGAAATCAGAGATGAAACGAACAAATGGAAAAACACCCCATGATCATGGAAAGGAAGAATCACTATCGTTAAAATGGCCATACTGTCCAAAGCAATTTGTAGATTCAATGCTATTCCCATTAAATTACAATTCACATTCTTCACAGAACTAGAACAAAACTATTTTAAAATTCATATGGAACCAAAAAACACCCAATAGCCAAGGCAATCCTAAGCAAAAAGAACAAAGCTGGAGGCATCATGCTACCCGACTTCAAACTATACTACAGGGCTAAATAACCAAACAGCATGGTACTGGCATAGACCAATGGAATAGAATACAGAACCCAGAAATAAGACTGCACAACTAAAAATATCTGATCTTTGACAAACCTGACAAGAACAATCAATAGGGAAAGGATTCCGTGTTCAATAAATGGTGCTGGGATAACTTGCTAGCGATACTCAGAAGACTGAAACTGGACCCCTTCCTTATATCATATAGAAAAATTAACTCAAGATGGATAAAGACTTAAATGTAATACCCAAGACTACAAAAACCCTAAAAGACAACATAGGCAATGACATCCTTGAAATAGGAACAGGCAAAGATTTTACAACAAAGACACCAAAAGCAATCCCAACAAAAGCAAAAATTGACAAGTGGGATTTAATTAAACTAAAGAGCTTCCACACAACAAAACAAATAAACAAACAAACACCACCAATAGAGTAGACAGACAACCTACAGAATGGGAAAAAATTGCAAACTATGCATCTGACAAAGGTCTAATATCCAGCATCTGCAAGGAACTTAAATAAATTTAGAAGAAATAAAACAACACCATTAAAAAGTGGGCAAAGGACATGAACAGACAATTCTCAAAAGAAGAAATATAGTGGCCAACAATCACATTAAAAAAAGCTCAACATCACCTATCATTAGAGAAATGCAAATCAAAACCACAATGAGATACCATGTCACACCAGTCAGAATAACAATTATTACGAAATCAAAAAAAATAACAGATGCTGTGAGGTTGTGGAGAAAAAGGAACGCTTATACAGTGTTTATGAGAGTATAAATTAGTTCAACCATTGTGGAAGACAGTGTGACAATTCCTCAAAGACCTACTAAAGACGGAAGTACCATTCGACCCAGCAATCCTATTACTGTGTATATAACCAAAGGAATGTAAATCATTCTATTATAAAGACACCTGCAAACATTTGTTAATTGCAGCACTATTCACAACAGCAAAGACATGGAATCAACCTAGATGTTCATCAATCATAGATGGGATAAAGAAAATGTGGCACAAATACACCATGGACTACTATGCAGCCATAAAAAAGAATGAAATAATGTCCTTTGCAGGGACATGTATGGAGCTGGAGGCCATTATGCTTAGAAAACTAACCCAGGAACAGAAAACCAAATACCACATGTTCTCACTTATACGTGGGAGCTAAATGATGAGAACACATGGGCATACAAGAGGGGAACAACACACACTGGGACCTATTAGAGGGTGAAGGGTGGGAGGAGGGAGAGGATCAGGAAAAATAACTAATGGGTACTAGGCTTAATACCCGTGTGATAAAATAATCTCTTCAACAAACCTCCATGACACACATTTGCCTATGTAACAAACCTGCACCTGTACCCCTAAACTTAAAATAGAAGTATAAAAAGTTATCTTTTTAACTTGATAGCTTCTTTAGGTTTTTGTTAGCAATTACTTCAATGTTTCAAATAAATTTTTAAATATGAAGAGGTTTAGGTTTTTAGTAAATTGAATTTCCATTATGTTTTTATTATAATGAGCATAAAAATACTTGTTTGTTTTCCAGGAGTACAATAAATGAACGAATTTATTAATGATGAAACTATGAATACATTTAGATCTAGCAAAAAAAGAGTGACACTAGAAAACAGTGGTTATGAATATTACAAAACTTTTCTAATTTAAACATAGCTGACTACTGAATTTTGGTCTGTTAGAAATCATGCTATGTACTGTACTGCCATTTCTCAATTTTGGTTACAAACATCGATTATAGCCAGTTTAGGCCCTTCATGATGAGTTTGGACACTATCATTTGATTTCATATTGAACTTGAGTGTTCCAATGAGTTTTGGATATAATATTTGGCTTCTTTAATTACTTAATTATTTTAAATTTGTGATGAGAGCTTCACATTTCATTATTAGATTTATTTCATTAATAAGCTTTATTGAGATATAATTTACATGCCATACACTGAACTCATTTAAAGTGTACAGTTCAGTATGTTTTTGTGTATATCCAGAATTGTGCAACCATCACCACAATAGATTTTAGAACATTTAAACCACCCACTAAAGAAATCCCTTGCCCATTGGTAGTCACTTCACATTCTCCCCAACTCCCTCCCCCAATGTATCTGCAGTTTAACACATCGATACATTTATGTGGAAATTAAATTAAAGGGACACAGACCAGTCAAAGTACCCTTGGAAAATAAAAATAAAGTTGAAGGACTCAGAATTCTCAGTTTCAAAACTCATTACAAAGCATCATTAAGACAGATAGTGGCATAGGGCGAGACTTGTGGATCAATGGAATAGAACTCAGAATCCACAAAGACACAATTACATTTGTGGTCACCTGATTTTCAACAAAAGTTCAAAGAGAATTCCATAGAGCAAAAAATAGTCTTTTCAACAAATGACACTGGAAGAGTGAAAACCAGCATACAAACAAATGAAATTGAGTGAACTTCTTCACATCATACACACAAAAAATCAACTCAAAATAGATGACAGACCTAAATGTAAGAGTGAAAACAATAAAACTCTTATAATAAAACATAAGAGTAAGTCTTCATGACTTTGAGTTAGCCTATGGTTTCTTAAATATGACACCAAGAGCACACTCAATAAAAGAAAAACAGATAAATTGGACTTCATCGATTTTAAATATTTTGTGCTGCAAGCAATATCATCAGTAAAGTTAAAAGACAACCCATATAATGTGAAAATATTTACAAGTAATATGTACAACAAGGGAATTTTATCCAGAATATATAAAGAACTCTCACATCTCAATAAGAAAAAGACAAACAACCCAATTTATAAATGGGGAAAGGATTTGATATGACTCAGTAATTCCACTCCTAGATTCATAACAAATAGAAATAAAAGCTTACATGCACATAAAAACTTATACACAGATGTTTGTATAGGCATTATTTATTATAGCCAAGTAGAAAGAACCCAAATGTCCACCAATGGATAAATGGGTAAGTAAAAGGTAGTGTATCAGTACAACTGAATATTTTTCAGCAGTAGAAAGGAATAAGATAGTGATACATGCTACCTCAAAAACATTATACTAAGTGAAAGAACCCAGTAACAAAGTGACTACAAATGATTTTATTTCATATATGTGAAATATCCAGATCAGGCAAATCAATAGAGACAAAAAATATCTTGGTGGTTGCCTGGGGCTGGCAGGGAGGGAGAATTTGGGGGAATGAAGAGTAACTGCTAATGGATATGGGATTTATTTCTAGAGGGAACAATATTCTAAAAATAATTGTAGTGTGCTATGTTTTGGATGTGTTTTCTCCCTGCCATAACTCATGTTGAAATTTAATGCCATTGTAACCATGTTGAGAGGTGGGGCCTTTAAGTGGTGATTAGGTCATTAAGATGGATTACCCTCTTTCTCAGGAGACTGGGTTAGTCCTCATGAAACTGAATCAGTTCCTGCAAAAACAGGTTGTGTTATAAAACGGGTCAGCCTCCTTTGTCTCCTCTCTCTTAGCACATAACCAATTCCCCTTCCACTTTTCTGCTAAACTATGAAGCAGCACAAGGCTCTCACCAGATGCAGCCACCTGATCTTGAATTTTCCAGCCTCCAGAACTGTGAGCTAAGTAAATTTCTTGTCTTGATAATGTACTCAGTCTCAGGTATTTTGTTATAGCAACAGAAATAAACTAAGGCAGGGTGAATGTTGCATAACCCTGTTATACTAAAAACATCGAATTTTACACTTTAAATGAGTGAATTATATGGTATCTGTATGATTTCTTACTAAAGCTGTTAAAAATAAATGTGGGTAAGTGCAATAAATTCCCTTTTTCCTTGTGAGTTTATAGTTTATAAATTATAGTTGATGATTGAAACAAAAAATAGCATTATCTGATGTTAAAGGCAATAGTATTTAAAAAGTGGGAAAGGTAAAGGGACCTTAATGTAAGTATGGTTTCCCCACTATACTAAAAGTGGTAAAATGTTGAAACCAGGAGACTGTGATAAGTCACATATGTGTATTGTAATACCTACAGCAACCTCTATGAAAACTATACAAAATATGCACTCAAAAACAAAAACACTATAAATGACTCAAGATAGAATTCTAAAATATGTTCAAGTAACCAACAGGAAGGCAAGAAAAGAGAAATAGAGGAATGAGAGCCAGAGGAAACAAACGGAAAACAAATAATAAAATGGCAGACTTAAGTTCTAACATATCAATAATAACCTTAAATGTAAACAGTCTAAATACAGGAATCAAAAGACAGAGACTGGAAGGAAACAAACAAACATTACCCAATGATATACTGTTTGCAAGAAACACTTGTCAACTTCAGTAACAGGGGTAGGTTAAACATAAAAGAATGGAAAAAGACACACCAAGTAAATACTAATTTTAAAAAGGTAGGAATTAATACATAGTATCCAATCAACTTCAGGGCAAATAAATTACTAGAGATAGAGGGACTTTAAATAATGATAAAAGGATCAATTCACCCTGAAGACATAATGATCCTAAATGTGCATGGATTAAACAATAGTGCCCCAAAACAAATAAATGAAGCAAATGCATGAAGCAAAATCTGATAGACCCAAAGGGAGAAATAGTATGTTGAAGTCCCCAGCTATACTTGTGGATCTGTATAGTTGGGGACTTTCACATATTCTTCATAGCAACTGATAGAACTACTAGATAGAAAGTCATCAAAGATATAAAGGAGCTGAACAATACAATAAACCAACAGGATCTAATTTATATAGATATAACACTCCACATGAGAACAGCAGAACACACATTTTTAAGCATTCATTGAACATTCATCAAGATATACCATACCCAGCATCATAAGACACCTCAATACATATAAAATAATTGAAATGATACAGATATGTTCTCTGACAATAATGAAATCAAATTAGAAATCAATAATAAAACAAAACAGGAAAATATCCAAATACTTCAAAATTAAACAAAACACCTTTATATAGCCCATCAGTCAAAGAGAAAGTCTCTAAGGAAAATAACAATAAAACAAACATATCAAAATATAGGAGATACAGCTAAAGCAGTGCTCAGAGAGAAGTTCATAGCATGAAATCATTACATTAAACAAGAAGCAAGTCTCAAATTAATATTCTAATACTTTCAACAAGCTAGAAAAAAGAAAAAAGACAAACACAAAGCATGCAGAAAGATTATGAAATAATACAGAGAAAGGGAGAAATCAATGAAGTCGAAAACAGAAAAACATTGGAGAAAATTGATACAATTAAAAGCTGATTCTCAAACAAATTATAAGCTTGATAAACCTCTAGCAAGGCTGACAAAAACAAAAACAGATTGCACAAGTAACCAATATGGGGAATGAAACAGGAGATAGCACTACAGATCTTGCAGTTAATGAAAGGGTAATAAGGGAGGAATATGAATAACTTTACACTCATAAATTTTACCAGTTATAAGAAATGGACCAGTTTCCTAAAAATCACACACTCTAAAATCTCAACCACGATGAATAATCCCTGCTACTAAACACTTAAAACATAATTAAAATAAATTCTACATGATGCCTTCCAAAAATTCAAAGATATAACATTTCCTAATTTTACAAGGCCAGTATTACCCTGCTACCAAAACCAGACAAAGATAGTATAAAATAAGAAAAATACAGACCAATATCTATCAAGAACTTAGAAGTAGAAATTTTTGATAAAACTTTGGCAAACCTAATCCAACAATGTATAAAAGAAATTACATACAATGACAAAGTGTGATTTATTCCAGGTATGCAAGACTGGTTGAACATTTGGCTCAATTAAAGTAATCCATCATTTTAATTTTTTTATTTTTAATTGTTTGTGGGTACATAGTAGGTGCAATATTTATCAACAGGTGAAAGAAGAAAAATCGTGATCATATTAACATATATGGAAGGCACATTTGACAAAATTCCACAGATATTGATGATAAAAACTCTGAGCCAGTTAGCAATAGAGAGAAATTACTTCAACTTGATAAAGAACATGTAAAAAATCCTATTGTTAACATCATATTAAATGGTGAAAGACTGAATGCTTTCCCCCTAAAACTGGGAAAGATGTGTGCTCTCACCACTCTTTCTTAACACTGTGCGGGAAGTTTTAGTCAGCACAATAAGACAAGAAAAAGAAATAAAAGGTATGCAGTTGGAAGGAAAGGAATAAAATTGTCCCTATTTGCAGATGATATGATTGTTTACATAGAAAATCCATTGAAGTCTATAAAAAAACCTCTAGAACTAATAAGTGTGTTCAGTAAGTTTGGAAGATACGAAATCAACATACAAAAGTTAATTTCACTTCTATATACTATGAACAGGTGGAAAATAAAATTAAAAGCACAATATCATTTACAATTGTTAGAAAGAAAATAAAATATTTAGGTATATACTTAAAATATGTACAAGTTCTATATGCTTAAAATTATAAACTACTGATGAAGAACATAAAAAAAGAAATGGAGAGACATATCACGCTCACAGAATGAAAAACTCAGTATATAAAAGATGTCAATTCTCTCTGAATTGGTCTATAGATTTAATGTAATTCTTATTAAAATTTCAAGCTTTTGTAGACATAGACATAAACATAGACATATTCTAAAATTTCTATGAAAATGCACAGGTTCTAGAATAGCTAAAGCAATTTCAAAAAGAAGAACAAAGCAGGAAGAATCACTTCATATCATGTTAAGGTTTACTATAGCCACAGTAATCAAAGCAGTGTGGTTTGGCAGAAGAATAGGTGCATAGGCAACTGACTTTTGGTAAAGGTGCAAACACAAATCAATGAAGGGTAGTCTTTTCAATAAATGATACTAGAACAACTGGATACCCATAGGCAACGATGAACCTTGACCTTAACTTACACCTTATCTTAAAAACTAACTCACAAAGAGGCAGAGTAAGATGGCAGAATGGGAAGCTCCATCAATTATCTTCCCCGCAAGGACAGTAATTTAACAACTATCTACACAGAAAAAAAAAAACATCTTCATAAGAAGCAAAAATCAGGTGAGCTGTCACAGTACCTGGTTTTAACTCTGTATTGCTGAAAGAGGCGCTGAAGAGATAGTAAAAGCAGTCTCGAATCGCTAATACTACCCCTCTGCCACTACCCCAGCAGAAGCTGCACAGTGCAGGGAGCAACTCCACACTGCAGGAGGAAGAGTACAGCAACAGTGAGGCACTGAACTCAGTGCTATTCCGTTATAGCAGAAAGGAGAACTGAACCAAACTCAGCTGATGCCTGTCCACAGAGGGAGCATTTAAACCAGCCCTAGTCAGAGGGGAATTGTGGATCCTAGTGGTCAAGACTTGATTTCCTGCAAACCTCATCACGGAGGGCTCCAGCAACCTATGTCTGCAAGTAAACTTGAAAGACAGTCTATGACATAAGGATTGCAACTCTTAGGCAAGTCCCAGGGCTGAATTGAGCCCAGAGACAGTGGACTGGGTAGCTTGCAACCTACTGAGACACCAGCTGGAGCAGTCAAGGGAATATTGGCATCAGCCCTCCCCTAACCCCAGGCTGCATAGCTGGCAGTCTTAAAAGAGACCTCTTCTTTCCGCATGAGGAGAGGAGAGGAAAGAATGAGGAGGACTTTGTCTTGTATCTTGGATACCAGCTCAGTCACAGCAGGAAAGGGCACCAGAGTTGTGAGGTCACTGTTTCAGGCCCTAGTTCCCAGATAACATTTCCAGACATACCTTGAGCCAGAAGGGAACCTGCTGCCTTAAAAGGAAGGACTCAGGGCCGCGTGCGGTGACTCACGCCTGTAATCCCAGCATTTTGGGAGGCCGAGGCGGGCGGATCACGAGGTCAGGAGATTGAGACCATCCTGGCTAACAAGGTGAAACCCCGTCTCTGCTAAAAATACAAAAAATTAGCCAGGCATGGTGGCGGGCGCCTGTAGTCCCAGCTACTCGGGAGGCTGAGGCAGGAGAATGGCGTGAACCCGGAAGGGGGAGCTTGCAGTGAGGCGAGATCGCGCCACTGCACTCCAGCCTTGGCGACAGAGCGAGACTCTGTCTCAAAAAAAAAAAAAAAAAAAAAAAAAGACAGACTCAGTCTGTCAGCATTCATTACCCACTAACTGAAAAGCCCTTTGTCCCTAAACAACCAGTAACGATTACCTGGTACTACGTCAAGGCCTTGGGTGAGCCTCTGAGACTTTCTGCCTTCAGGTGAGATTCAGCATATGACCAGCTCTGGTGGATACAGTGCAAAACTCCTTCTGCTTGAGAAAAGCAGATGGAAAAGTAAAGGGAATTTTGTCTTGCACCTTAGTTACCAGCATGGCCACGGGGGGATAGTGCATCAAGCAGTCCCCTGGGATCCCTGATTTCAGGACTTGACTCTTAGTCAGCATCTCTGGACTTGCCCTGGGTCAGAGGGGAGCCCACTGCCCTGAAGGGTGAGTCTCAGGCCAGGCAGCATTCATCACAAGCTGACTGAAGAGCCCGTGGGCCTTAAGAGAACATCAGTGGTAGTCTGGCAGAACTCCCCATGGCCTGGGATGGTGGTAGCTACCAGGAGAGGCTCCTCTGCCTTTGAAAAGGAGAGGGAAGAGTGGGAAGGACTGCATCTTATGGTTTGAGTGCCAGTTCAGTCACAGTATAATAGAATACCAGGTAGGCTTCCATGGTTTTTGAATCTAGTCCCTGACTCCCAGATAGCACCTCTGGATTCACCCAGTGCCTGGGGGAAGTCTTCACCCTGCAGGGAAGGACACAGGTCTGGCTGGCCTTGCCATCTGCTGACTGTAGAACCCTAGGGCCTTAAATGAACATAGGCAGTAGCAAGGGAGTGGTTATTGCAAGCTTTGGGAGAGACCCAGTGCTGTGCTGGCTACAAGTCTGACCCAGCTCAGTTATAGTGGCAGTGGCCACAAGAATGCTTATTTCGCTCCATCCCCAGCTTCAAGTGATGCAAAACAGAGAGAGAGAGAGAGAGAGAGAGAGAGAAAGAGAGAGAGAGAGAGACTACTTTTGTTTAGGAGAAAGTAAGGGAAGAAAACAAGTGTCTCTGCCTGGTAGCACAGAATATTCTCCCAGTTCTTGCCCAAGGTCATCAAGGAGGTACTTTTACTAGTTTTCAGGAACCAAAGTGTTAGTGGGCTTTGGAAGCATCCCAAAACAGATACAGCTTGGAACACAGCACCCAAGTACTTTTGAATATCTGGAAAGCCTTCCAAAGAAGGATGGGTGCAAACAAGCCCAGACAATGAAGACAACAATAAATACCAAACTCTTCAATGCCCAGACACTAAATAACATCTATTAGCATCAACAGCACCCAGGAAAACATGACCTCCCCAAATGAACTAAATAAGGAATCAGGGACCAATCCTGGAGAAACATATCTATATGTGAACTTTAGGACAGAGAATTCAAAATAGTAGCTGTGTTGAGGAAGCCAAAGAAATTTAAGATAACACAGAGAAGGAATTCAGAATTCTATCAGATAAATTTAACAGACTGAAGTAATTAAAAGGTTTCCAGCATAAATTCTGAAGCTGAGAAATGCAATTGGTATACTGAAGAACATATCAAAGTCTTTTAATAGCAGAACTGATCAACCAGAAGAAACAATTAGTGAATTTGAGGACAGGGTATTCAAAATTATACAGTAAGAGGAGACAAAGGAAAAAAAGAATAAATAACCAAAAAGCACATCCTCAGGATCTAGAAAACAGCCCCAAAAGGGCAAATCTGAGAGTTATTGACTTTAAGGAGGAGGCAGAGAAAGAGATAGGGGGTAGAAAATTGATTCAAAGGGATAATATCATAGAACTTCTGAAACCAAGAGAAAGGTATTAATATCTAAGCAGAAGAAGGTTATACAACACCAAGCAGATTTAACTCAAAGAAGACTACCTCAGGCATTTAATAGTCAAACTCCCAAATACAAAGGATGAAGAAAGAATCCTAAAGGCAGCAAGAGAAAATAAACAGATAACATATTTAATACAGTGGAGCTCCAATAAATCTTGCAGCAGATTTTTCAGTGGAAACCTGACATGCCAGGAGAGATTGACATGACATATTCAAAGTACTGAAGGAAAAAAAAACTTTTATCCTAGAATAGCCTATCCAGTAAAAATATCCTTTAAGTATGAAGGAGAAATAAAGATTTTTCCAGAAAAACAAAAGATGAGTGATTTCAACACCAGACATGTCCCACAAGAAATGCTAAAGGGAGTACTTCAATCAGAAAGAAAAGGATGTTAATGAACAATAAGTAATCACCTGAAGGTACATATCTCACTGGTCATAGTAAGTAAACAGAAACACACACAATATTATAACACCATAACTGTGGTGTGTATACTACTCTTGCTAAATAGAAAGACTAAATGATGAATCAATAAAAAATAATGACTATGACAACTTTTCAAGACATAGACAATACAATAAGATGTAAATAGAGGCAACAATAAGCTAAAAAGCAAGGGAATGAAGTTAAGGTGTAAAGTTTTTATTAGTTTTTTTAATTGTTTATTTGTTGATGCAAACAACATTAAGCTATTATCAGCTTAAAGCGATTGGATATTACATAGTATTTGCAAGCCTCATGATAACTTCAAACAAAAAAATACAATGGATACACAAAAAATAAGAAACAAGAAACTTAATTATATCAGAAGAGAAAATCACCTTCACTAAAGGAAGACAGAAAGGAGAGAAAGAAAGAAGAGAACACCAAGAAACAACCAGAAAACAAATAACAAAATGGCAGGGTGAGTCTTTACTTATCAATAATAACACTGAATATCAATGGACTAAACTCTCCCATCAAAAGACATGGAGTGGCTGAATGAATGAAAAAACAAGAACCAGGGGACTTGCTGGCAAGGTGGCTGAATAGGAACAGCTCTTGTCTGCAGTTCCCAGCGAGATTGATGCAGAAGGCAGGTGATTTCTGCATTTCCAACAGAGGTATCCAGTTCATCTCATTGGGACTGGTTGGACAGTGAATGCAGCCCATGCAGGGTGAGCCAAAGCAGAATGGGGCATTGCCTCACCCGGGAAATGCAAGGGGTCAGGGGATTTCCCTTTCCTAGCCAAAGGGAGCTGTGAGAGACTGTACCCGGAACAACAGTGCACTCCGGCCCAGATTCTGTGCTTTTCGCATGGTCTTCACAACTGGCAGATCAGGAGATTCCCTCTGGTGCCTGGCTTGGTGGGTCCCACTCCCATGGAGCAGAGCAAGCTAAGATCCACTGGCTTGAAATTCTCACTGTTAGCAGTCTGAAATCCACCTGGGATGCTCAAGCTTGGTGGGGGGAGGAGCGTCCACCATTGCTGAGGCTTGAGTAGACAGTTTTACCCTCACCATGTAAACAAAGCCACATGGAAGTTTGAACTGGGCAGAGCCCACCACAGCTCAGCAAGGCTGCTGTGGCCAGGCTGCCTCTCTAGATATTTCCTCTCTTGGCAGGTCATCTCTGAAAAAAAGGCAGCCGCCCAAGTCAGGGACATATAGATAAAACCCCCTTCTCCTTGGGACAGAGCACTTGGGGGAAGGAACAGCTGTGGGCACAGCTTCAGGAGACTTAAACGTCCCTGCATGACAGCTCTTAAAAGAGCATCTGATCTCCCAGAACAGTGTTTGAGCTCTGATAAGGGACAGGCTGCCTCCTCAGGTGGGTCCCTAACCCCCGTGTATCCTGACTGGAAGACATCCCCCAGTAGAGGCCGACAGACATCTATACAGGAGAGCTCTCACTGGCATCTGGCAGGTGGCCTCCAGGACGAAGCTTCCAGAGGAAGGAACAGGCAGCAATCTTTGCTGTTCTGCAACCTCCACTGGTGATACCCAGGCAAACAGGGTCTGGAGTGGACCTCCAGCAAACTCCAGCAGACCTGCAGCAGACGAGTCGGACTGTTAGAAGGAAAATTAACAAACAGAAAGGAATAGCATCAACATCAACAAAAAGGATCTACACACAGAAACCCCATTTGAAAGTCACCAACATCAAAGACCAAAGGTAGATAAATCCACGAAGATGAGGAAAAACCAGCACAAAAAGGTTGAAAATTTCAAAACGCAGAACACCTCTCCTCCTCCAAAGGCACAACGTTTTGCCAGTAAGAGAACAAAACTGGATGGAGAATGAGTTTGATGAATTGACAGAAGCAGGCTTCAGAAGGTGGGTAATAACAAACTCCTTTGAGCTAAAGGAGCATGTTCTAACCCAATCCAAGGAAGCTAGGAACCTTGAAAAAAGGTTAGATGAATTGCTAACTAGAATAACCAGTTTAGAGAAGAACATAAATGACCTGATGGAGCTGAAAAACATAGCACAAGAACTTCTTGAAGCATACAAAAGTATCAATTGCCAAATCGATCAAGTGGAAGAAATGATACCAGAGATCAAAGATCAACTCAATGAAATAAAGCAAAAAGACAAGATTAGAGAAAAAAGAGTGAAAAGAAATGAACACAGCCTCCAAGAAATATGGGACTATATGGAAAGGCCAAATCTACGTTTGATTGGTGCACCTGAAAGTGACGGGGAGAATGGAACCAAGTTGGAAACACTCTTAAGGATATTATCCGGGAGAACTTCCCCAATCTAGAAAGACAGGTCAACATTCAAATTCAGGAAATACAGCGAACAACACAAACATTTTCCTCAAGAAGAGCAACCCCAGATACATAATCATCAGATTCACCAAGGTTGAAATGAAGAAAAAAATGTTAATGGCAGCCAGACCTTAGAGAGAAAGGTCAGGTTACCCACAAGGGGAACCCATCACACTAACAGCAGATCTCTCAGCAGAAACCCTAAAAGCCAGAAGAGAGTGGGGACCAGTATTCAACATTCTTAAAGAAAAGAATTTTCAACCCAGAATTTCATATCCAGCCACAGTAAGCTTCATAAGTGAAAGAGAAATAAAATCCTTTCAGACAAGCAAATGCTGAGATATTGTCACCACCAGGCCTGCCTTACAAAAGCTCTGGAAGGAAGTACTAAACATGGAAAGGAACAACGAGTGCCAGCCACTGCAAAAACATACCAAATTGTAAAGACCATCGACGCTATGAAGAAACTGCATCAACTAATTGGCAAAATAACCAGCTAGCATCATAATGACAGGATCAAATTGACACATAACAATATTAACCTTAAATGTAAATCAGCTAAATGGGCAAATTAAAAGACACAGGCTGAAGAATTGGTTAAAGAGTCAAGACCCATCTGTGTGCTGTATTCAGGAGACCCATCTCATGTGCAAAGACAAACATAGGCTCAAAATAAAGGGATGGAGGAATATTTACGAAGCAAATGGAAATTAAAAAAAAGCAGAGGTTGCAATCCTAGTCTCTGATAAAACAGACTTTAAATCAACAAAGATCAAAACAGACAAAGAGGAGCATTATATAGTGGTAAAGGGATAAATGCAACAAGAAGAGCTAACTATCCTAAATATATATGCACCCAAAACAGGAGCACCCAGATTGATAGAGCAAGTTCTCAGAGACCTACAAAGAGACTTAGACTCTCACACAATAGTAGTGAGAGACTTTAACACCCCGCTGTCAACAATAGACAGATCAATGAGACAGAAATTAACAAGGATATCCAGGATGTGAACTCAGCTCTGGACCAAGTGGACCTAAAAGACATCTACAGAACTCTCCACCACAAATCAACAGAATACACATTCTTCTCAGCACCACATCACACTTATTCTAAAATTGACCACATAATTGGAAGTAAAACACTCCTCAGCAAAGGCAAAAGAATGAAAATCATAACAGTCTCTCAGACCACAGTGAAATCAAATTATAACTCAGGATTGAGAAACTCACTCAAAACTGCACAACTACATGGAAACGGAACAACCAGCTCCTGAATGACTACTGGGTAAATAATGAAATGAGGGCAGAAATAAAGATGTTCTTTAAAACCAAGGGGAACAAAGGCACAATGTACCAGAATCTCTGGGACACATTTAAAGCAGTGTGTAGAGGGAAATTTATAGCTCCAAATGCTCACAAGAGAAAGAAAGAAAGATCTAAAATCAACACCCTAACATCACAACTAAAAGAACAAAAGAAACAAGAGCAAACACATTCAAAAGCTAGCAGAAGACAAGAAATAACTAACACCAGAGCAGAACTGATGGAGATAGAGACATAAAAAACCCTTCAAAAAATCAATGAATCAAGGAGCTAGTTTTTTGAAAAGATCAACAAAATAGATAGACTGCTAGTCAGACTAATAAAGAAGAAAAGAGAGAAGAATCAAATAGACACAATAAAAAATGATAAAGGGGATATCACCACCGATCCCACAGAAATACAAGCTAACATCAGAGAATACTATAAACACCTCTACGCCAATAAGCTAGGAAATCTAGAAGAAATGGATAAGTTCCAGGACACATACACCCTCCCAAGACTAAACCAGGAAGAAGTCAAATCCCTGAATAGACCAATAACAAGCTCAGAAATTGGGGCAGCAATTCATAGCCTACAAACCAAAAGAAGTCCAGGACCAGACGGACTCACAGCCAAATTCTACTAGAGGTACAAAGAGGAGCTGGTACCATTCCTTCTGAAACTATTCCAAACAATAGAAAAAAAGGGAATCCTCCCTAACTCATCTTATGAGGTCAGCATCATCCTGATACCAAAACCTGCAGAGACACAGCAAAATAGAAAATTATAGGACAGTACCCTTAGTGAACATCAATGCAAAAATCCTCAATAAAATACTGGCAAACCAAATCCAGCAGCATATCAAAAAGCTTATCCACCATGATCAAGTTGGCTTCATCCCTGGGAGGCAAGGATGGCTCAACATAAGCAAATCAATAAACATAATCCATCACATAAACAGAACCAAAGACAAAAACCACGTGATTATTTAAATTGATACAGAAAAGATATTTAGCTTCATGCCAAAAACGCTCAATATACTAGGTATTGATGGAACATTTCTAAAAATAATAAGATCTATTTATGACAAACCCACAGCCAATATCATACTAAGTGGGCAAAAACTAGAAGCATTCCCTTTGAAAACCGGCACAAGACAAGGATGCCCTCTCTCACCACTCCTATTCCACATAGTATTGGAAGTTCTGGCTAGGGCAATCAGGCAAGAGAAAGAAATAAAAGATATTCAATTAGGAAAAAAGGAAGTCAAATTGTCTCTGTTTGCAGATGACAAGATTGTATATTTAGAAAACCCCATCGTCTCAGCCCAAAATCTCCTTAAGCTGATAAGCAACTTCAGCAAAGTCTCAGGATACAAAATCGATGTGCAAAAATCACTAGCATTCCTATACACCAATAACAGACAAACACAGAGCCAAATCATGAGTGAACTCCCATTCACAATTGCTACAAAGAGAATAAAATACCTAGGAATCCAACTTACAGGGGATGTGAAGGACCTGTTCAAAGAGAACTACAAACCACTGCTCAAGGAAATAAGAGAGGACACAAACAAATGGAAAAACATTCCATGCTCATGGATAGGAAGAATCAATATCATGAAAATGGCCATACTGCCCAAAGTAATTTATAGATTCAATGCTATCCCCATCAAGCTACCATTGACTTTCTTCACTGAACTGGAAAAAATTACTTGAACTTTCATATGGAACCAAAAAAGAACCTGCATAGCCAAGACAATCCTAAGCAAAAAGAACAAAGCTGTGTGCATCACGTTACCTGACTTCAAACTACTACTAGGCAACAGTAACAAAAACAGCATGGTACTGGTACCAAAACAGATATATAGACCAATGGAACAGAACAGAGTCCTCAGAAATAACACCACACACCTACAACCATCTGATCTTTGACAAACATGACAAAAACAAGCAATTGGGAAAGGATTCTTTATTTAATAAATGGTGTTGGGAGAACTGGCTAGCCATATGCAGAAAGCTGAAACTGGATCCCTTCCTTACGCCTTATACAGAAATTAATTCAAGATGGATTAAAGGCTTAAATGTAAGACCTAAAACCATAAAAACCCTAGAAGATAACCTAGGCAATACCATTCAGGACATAGGCATGGGCAAAGACTTCATGACTAAATCACCAAAAGCAATGGCAACAAAAGCCAAAATTGACAAATGGGATCTAATTAAAATAAAGAGGTTCTGCACAGCAAAAGAAGCTACCATTAGAGCGAACAGGCAGCCTACAGAATGGGAGAAAAATTTTGCAATCTACTCATCTGACAAAGGGCTAATATCTAGAATCTACAAAGAACTTAAACAAATTTACAAGAAAAAAAAACAATCCCATCAAAAAATGGGCAAAGGATATGAACAGACACTTCTCAAAAGACAAAATTTATGCAGCCAACAGACATGCAAAAATGCTTATCATCACTGGTCATGAGAGAAATGCAAATCAAAACCACAATGAGATACCATTTCATGCCAGTTAGAATGATGATCATTAAAAAGTGAGGAAACAACAGATGCTGGAGAGGATGTGGAGAAATAGGAACACTTTTACACTGTTGGTGAGAGTGTAAATTAGTTCAACCGTTGTGGAATCCAGTGTGGCAATTCCTCAAGGATCTAGAACTAGAAACACCATTTGACCCAGCAATCTCATTACTAGGTATATACCCAAAGGATTATAAATCATTCTATTATAAAGACACGTGCACTTGTATGTTTACTGTAGCACTGTTGTCAATAGCAAAGACTTGGAACCAACCCAAATGTCCACCAATGGTAGAGTGGATTAAAAAAATGTGGTGCATATACACCATGGAATTCTATGCAGCCATAAAAAAGGATGAGTTCATGTCCTTTGCAGGGACATGGATGAAGCTGGAAAACATCATTCTCAGCAAACTAACACAAGCACAGAAAACCAAACACTGCATGTTCTCACTCATAAGAGGGAGTTGAACACATGGACACAGGGAGAGGAGCATCACACACTAGGCCCTGTCAGGGGGTGGGGAGCGCTAGGGAAGGGATAGCATTAGGAGAAATATCTAATGTAGATGATGGTTTGACGGGTGCAGCAAAGCACCATGGCACATGTATACCTATGTAACTAATCTACATGTTTTGCACATATACCCCAGAACTTGAAGTATAATAATAAAAAATACAAGACCCATTGATCTGTTGCCTGAAAGAAATACAATTCACCTATGAAGACACACATAGCGTGAACATAAAGGGATGGAAATATATATTCCATGCCAATGGAAACTGAAAAAGCACAGGAGTAGCTATACTTACATCAGACAGAATAGATTTCAAGACAAAACTATAACAAGAGACAAAGATGGTTACTATATAATCATAAAGTCACCAATTCAGCAAGATGCTTTAACAATGTTAAACATTTATGCACCCAACCTGGAGCACCTGGATTTATAAAGCAAATATTACTAGGGCTAAAGCAACAGATAGGTCCCCATACAGTCATAGCTGAAGACCTCAACACCCCACTCTCAGCATTGTACAGATCTTCCAGACAGAAAATCAAAAAAGAAACATTAGACTTAATCTGCACTATATAGACCAAATGATTCTAACAGATATTTACAGAACACTTCATTCATCGGCTGCAGAATACACATTCTTTTCCTCAGCACATAAATGATTCTCAAGAATAGACCATATGTTAGGTCACAAAACAAGTTTTAAAACGTTTTCTAAAATTGAAATAATATCAAGCATCCTCTCTGAACACAATGGAATAAAATTAGAAATCCATAACATAAGGAATTTTGGGAACTGTAAAAACACATGTGCTGGGTGCGGTGGCTCACACCTGTAACCCCAGCACTTTGGGAGGCCGAGGCGGGTGGATCACCTGAGGTCAGGAGTTTGAGACCAGCCTAGCCAACATGATGAAACCCCGTCTCTACTAAAAATACAAAAAATTAGCTGGGCATGGTGGCGGACACCTGTAATCTCAGCCACTAGGGAGGCTGAGGCAGGAGAATCGCTTTGAACCCAGGAGGCGGAGGTTGCAGTGAACTGAGATCGTGCCATTGCACTCCAGCCTGGGCACTGAGAGTGAAACTCTGTCTTGCAAAACAAAACAAAACAATAACAAAAACAAAAACAAAACAAAATGAAAATTAAAAATATAAAAGCAGTAATAAATTATTTTGAAATGAAGAAAGCAAAACAAAAGATCAATGAAACAGAAAGTTGCTTTTTTGAAAAGTTAAACCAAATTGACGAACCTATGGGCAGACTAACTGAAAAAAAGAGAGAAGATTCAATTAAATGGAAAATGAAAAAGGAGGCATTACAATTGACACTGTAGAAATTCGAAGGATCATTAGTAGCTACTATGAGCAACTATATGCCAATAAATTGGAAAATCTAGAAGAAATGAACAAATTCCTAGACAAATACAACCTACAAAAATTGAACAAGGAAGAAATCCAAACCCTGAACAGAACAACAAGTAACAAAATTGAAGCCGTAAGAAAAAGTATCCCAGTAAAGAAAAGCTGATGGTTTCAGTGCTGAATTCTATGAAAAATTTAACTAAATACTAACACCAATCCTATTCAAACTATTCTGATAAATTGAGGCACAAGGAATACTTCCAACCTCATTCTACAAGGCTATTATTACCCTGATTCCCAAACCAGAAAAAGTCACATCAAAAAAAAGAAAAGTAGCCAGTTTTCCCAGCACCATTTGTTAAATAGGGAATCCTTTCCCCATTGCTTGTTTTTCTCAGGTTTGTCAAAGATCAGATAGTTGTAGATATGCGACATTATTTCTGAGGGCTCTGTTCTGTTCCATTGATCTATATCTCTGTTTTTGTACCAGTACCATGCTGTTTTGGTTACTGTAGCCTTGTAGTATAGTTTGAAGTCAGGTAGCATGATGCCTCCAGCTTTGTTCTTTTGGCTTAGGATTGACTTGGCGATGTAGGCTCTTTTTTGGTTCCATATGAACTTTAAAGTAGTTTTTTCCAATTCTGTGAAGAAAGTCATTGGTAGCTTGATGGGGATGGCATTGAATCTATAAATTACCTTGGGCAGTATGGCCATTTTCACGATATTGATTCTTCCTACCCATGAGCATGGAATGTTCTTCCATTTGTTTGTATCCTGTTTTATTTCATTGAGCAGTGGTTTGTAGCTCTCCTTGAAGAGATCCTTCACGTCCCTTGTAAGTTGGATTCCTAAGTATTTTATTCTCTTTGAAGCAATTGTGAATGGGAGTTCACTCATGATTTGGCTCTCTGTTTGTCTGTTATTGGTGTATAAGAATGCTTGTGATTTTTGTACATTGATTTTATATCCTGAGACTTTGCTGAAGTTGCTTATCAGCTTAAGGAGATTTTGGGCTGAGACAATGGGGTTTTCTAGATATACAATCATGTCGTCTGCAAACAGGGACAATTTGACTTCCTCTTTTCCTAATTTAATACCTTTTAATATGTAGAAAGCTGAAACTGGATCCCTTCCTTACACCTTATACAAAAATCAATTCAAGATGGATTAAAGACTTAAACGTTAGACCTAAAAACATAAAAACCCTAGAAGAAAACCTAGGCATTACCATTCAGGACATAGGCATGGGCAAGGACTTCACGTCTAAAACACCAAAAGCAATGGCAACAAAAGCCAAAATTCACAAATGGGATCTAATTAAACTAAAGAGCTTCTGCACAGCAAAAGAAACTACCATCAGAGTGGACAGGCAAGCTACAAAATGGGAGAAAATTTTCACAACCGACTCATCTGACAAAGGGCTAATATTCAGAATCTACAATGAACTCAAACAAATTTACAAGAAAAAAACAAACAACCCCATCAAAAAGTCGGCAAAGGATATGAACAGACACTTCTCAAAAGAGGACATTTATGCAGCCAAAAAACACATGAAAAAATGCTCACCATCACTGGCCATCAGAGAAATGCAAATCAAAACCACAATGAGATACCATCTCACACCAGTTAGAATGGCAATCATTAAAAAGTCAGGAAACAACAGGTGCTGGAGAGGATGTGGAGAAATAGGAACACTTTTACACTGTTGGTGGGACTGTAAACTAGTTCAACCATTGTGGAAGTCAGTGTGGTGATCCCTCAGGGATCTAGAACTAGAAATACCATTTGACCTAGCCATCCCATTACTCGGTATATGCCCAAAGGACTATAAATCATGCTGCTTTAAAGACACATGCACACGTATGTTTATTGTGGCACTATTCACAATAGCAAAGACTTGGAACCAACCCAAATGTCCAACAATGATAGACTGGGTTAAGAAAATGTGGCACATATACACCATGGAATACTATGCAGCCATAAAAAATGATGAGTTCATGTCCTTTGTAGGGACATGGATGAAATTGGAAATCATCATTCTCAGTAAACTATCGCAAAAACAAAAAACCAAACACCACATGTTCTCACTCTTAGATGGGAATTGAACAATGAGAACACTTGGACACAGGAAGGGTAACATCACACTCTGGGGACTGTTGTGGGGTGGGGGGAGGGGGGAGGGATAGCATTGGGAGATATACCTAATGCTAAAGGACGAGTTAATGGGTGCAGCACACCAGCATGGCACATGTATACATACGTAACTAACCTGCACATTGTGCACATGTACCCTAAAACTTAAAGTATAATAATAATTAAAAAAAATAAAAAAATAAAAAAAGAAAACTATAGGCCAATATCTCTCTTGAATATTGATGCAAAAATCCTCAACGAAATACTTCAAAACTGAGTTCAATAATACACTAAAAAGATCAGGCTGGGCTTGGTGGCTCACACCTGTAATCCCAGCACTTTGGAAGGCTGAGGTGGGTAGATCACTTAAAGCCAGAAGTTCAAGACCAGCCTGGCCAACATGATGAAACCCTAATCTCGAATAAAAATACAAAAATTAGCTAGGTGTTGTGGCCCACGCCTGTAATCCCAGCTACTCAGGAGGCTGAGGCACAAGAATTGCTTGAACCTGGGAGGCAAAGGTTGCAGTGAGCCAAGATCAAGCCACTGCACTCCAGCCTGGGTGACAGAGCGAAACTCTGCCTCTCTCTCTCTCTCTCTCTCTCTCTCTCTCTCTATATATATATATATATATATATATATATATATATATATATATATATATATATATATGTATCTCCTTGTTTATATTTGAAAAAAACTAAAGACTCCAGAATAAAACTATTAGACTGATTAAAAAATTCAGAAAAGTTGCAGGATACAAAATCTACATACAATCTGAAAATGAAGTTTAAAAAAGTAATCCCATTTATAATAGCCACACATAAAATTAAATACCTAGGAATTAACTTAACCAAAAAAGTGAAAGAGCTCTGTAATGAAAACTATAAAACAAGATGAAATCAATTGAAGAGGATACCAAAAAAAAGGAAAAATACCTCATAGAATCAATATTATTAAAATGTCCACACTACCCTAAGCAATCTACAGACTTAATGCAACCCCTATCAAAATACCAATGGCATTCTTCACAGAAATAGAAAAAAATTCTAAAATTTATAGGGAACCACAGAAGACCCAGGATAGCCGAAATTATCCTAAGCAAAAAGAACAAAACTGGAGGAATCCTATTACCTCACTTTAAATTCTACAGAGCTTTAGTAATCAAAACAACATGGTACTGGCATAAAAACAGACATATACACCAAAGGAATAGAATAGAAAACTCAGAGTTAATCCATACATATACAGTGAACTCATTTTTAAGGTAGCTGCCAAGAATATACACTGGGGAAAAGACAGTCTCTTCAATATATGGTGCTGGGAAATCTGGATATCAGCATGCAGAATAATGAAACTTGACTCCTATCTCTTGCCATATACAAAAATCAAATCAAAATGGATTAAAGACTTAAATCTGACCCTTCAAGCTGTGAAACTAATACAAAGAAACACTGGAGAAACTCCCCACGACAACAGACCAGGCAAAAATTTCTTGAGCATTATCTCCCACAAGCACAGGCAACCAAAACAAACGTGGACAAATGGGATCACATCAAGTTAAAAAGCTTTTGCACAGCAAAAGAAACAATCAACAAAGTAAACAGATAACCCACAGAATTGGAGAAAATATTTGCAAACTACCCATCTGACAAGGGATTCATAACCAGAATATATAAGGAGCTCAGACAACTCTATAGGAAAAAAAAGTATAATAATCCAATTAAAAATGAGCAAAAGATTAGAATAGACATTTCTCAAAAGGAGACGTACAAATGGCAAACAGGCATATGAAAAGGTGCTCAACATCATTGATTATCAGAGAAATTCAAATCAAAACTACAATGAGATATCATTTCACCTCAGTTAAAATGGCTTATATCCAAAAACAACAGCAAATAACAAATGCTGGTGAGGATGTAAAGAAAATGGAACCCTTGTACACTGGTGGTGGGAATGTAAATTAGTACAACCACTGTAGGAAACAGTTTGGAAGTTCCTCAAATGACTAAAAATAGAGCTACCAAAAATAGAGCTACTAAAAGTATGATCCAGCAATCCCACTGCCGGGTATATGCCTAAAAGAAAGGATATCAGTATATATCAGTATATATATATATATATATATATATATACACACACACATACACATATATATATATATATATACTCTTAAAACTTAACCAAAAAACTCCTTACAACCCATTAGAAAATTAGAAGTAATCAGAGAGTGGCTGATTATATAATATGTAATTAGAGAGTGGCTGATTATATAATATATAAATTATAGATATTATAATTTATATAATTATATAATATAATTATAAAATATAAATTAGAGATATTAGAAAATTCTGGCAAGAATGTGGAGAAATGCATCATGGATATGTTGCAGGTGAGAATGTAAAATGGCACAGCCACTCAGCAATTGCCCTCTGGGTCATTTTTCCCTGGAGAGTTAAAACTTATGTTCACACATAAAGCTGTACAGGAATGTTCGTAGCAGCTTTATTCATAATAGCCACAAACAGTAAAAACTCAAATGTCCTTCAATGTGTTAATGGTTAAGCTATGGAACATCTATACCATGGAATACTACACAGCAATGTAAAGGAATGAACAATTGCTACATCCAATAGCTTGAATGAATTTCCAGGGAATTAAGTCGAGTGAAAAAAACCAACCCCAAATGATCACATATTCTGTGAATCCTTTTTAAAACATTCTTTAAATAACAAAACTTTAGAAATAAATAACAGATTGCCAGGGATTATGAACAGGGTAGTAATTGGGAAGGAGCTGGGGGCAGTAGTTAGAAAAACACAACATAATGGATCCTTGTCATAATGGAGTTGGTTTGTATCTAGACTGTGATAGTGTATACATGAACCTATATTTGTGATAAAATTTCTTAGAACTTAACACACACACACAAACAAATGAGTGCATAAAAATATGTAGAAATGTGAACAAGGTCAGAGGATTGTCTCTTGTAAATAGCCTGTTTGTGATATAGTTTTGAAAGTCATTACCACTGGGGGAAACTGGGTAAAGTATATGGTATCACTCTAATATTTCCTACAACTCCATATGAATCCATAGTTCTCTCAACAAAAATTTCAATTAAAAAAATGGATGAGTTTGGCTTATGGAATAGAATTTGTCAACCTGTTCTCCAAAATACTCAATGTCATTTTGTTTTCTAAAAATCAAATGGTCATTGTAGTTATTGGTGTGGCTGGTATCCTCCTGCAATATGTTTGCCTCCAAAGTAGTAATGGGAGCAGACATTGTACTATGTGAATGTGATCTAAATCAAGGTAGGCCAAGGTATGGACAGAAGTGAAGCCAGGCTAACACATATTAGCAACAGCTACCATCATGCTGATTCACTTTTTATTTAATCAAAATGACTGAGGCCTCAGCCTAAAGTTTAAATCAGAGTTGAAATTCCCAATTCTTGGTCCCTCTGTCTAGAGCTCTACACACCTATGGGTCTTCCAACTTCAAACTTGAAGTCGTTGGTTAAATATTAGTGTCTCAGTGAGACCTTTCCTGATGACTTATTTGAAAAATAATCTCTGTATTCCCTTTATTTGCTTTATTTATCTCCACAGCACTTATCACTTTCAATAAGCAATTTAATTTACTTATTTATTTGGTTCATTTTCTATCTCCTGCTCTAGAAAGTAAGCTCCATAGGGCAAGGATTTTTGTCTACTTTGCTCACCACTGTATCCCAAGGGCCTATCTCATAGTAAGTTTACAATAATTATCTATTTAATAACTGAATAAATGGGGTAACTCTTCTGTCTTCTGTTGAGAGATGGCTTCTCCGAAGATTGATTTCTTGTCTTGCACTCTGCTTGTCAGTGTGATTGATAAAGCAGGCACCCCTGAATAACCTGTGGGCACTGATACTATCAGTTGTTTAAGATGAAGCTCGTAGTTCAGGATGCTTCTGATTATAGTTCACTTATGGGCCTAGAACTATTAAGTTTTAAGTACCAACATGAGCATGAGAACCTCCATGAATTTTTCTACCCTAGTAGATTCTTATAGATAGTGGGTCTCTCTTGGAAGCAGATTGCCTTTACATGTATGCAAAGCCTGGCAGAGGTTTGAAGTGAGTCTGGGTCTGCTGGACCATTATTAAGTTTCCCATTGCCTTGAAATCTGCCAGTGTGTGGGTATATGGGCAGCCAAGATCCCCCCTAATTTAGATAAAGCTAAAGCAGGAGGGCTTAGCTGATTTTATCATTACTGAGTAGCTGCAGCATTTCTTGCCAGTGGGCCTGGCACACTTTTACATAAAGTGGCTGAATTTTCTGCAATAAGGTGTTTTCTGCTAGTGTATTTACTCAGTCATAGCTGGTGCTAGACTGAAACAGGATGTCTAAGAGGTGGATGCATTTGACCGGGTAGCCTTTCAGCTGTATATACAGATCCCAGGTGACCAGCCTTAGAGATCTATAACAGTTGTTCACATAAAAGTGTCGAAAGCGTTTCCTTGAATGTCATGGTTAGGGCAGCATTATTCCATAGCACATCTTTTCCAAAACTGGAACTTTTAAACAATGTCTGTCCCCTACCTTGAAAGTATTGGCGTCTCCTCATAAACAAGAACTCACATACCCTCCAGAGTGCTAATACTAATCCAACATAGGTATGGCATAGGGACCTATGGACAGAATGACCTAGTCTATATATTTTCCATCAAATAGGATATTTAAAATATTCCACCTTCCTCAGAATTATGAGGCCTGAGTTTCCTGGAGTTATATAAAAAATTTTATCAACTGACCCAGGTAAAATAAATTTTTTTTTTTGAGACGGAGTCTTGCTCTGTCACCCAGGCTGGAGTGCAGTGGCGCAATCTCGGCTCACTGCAAGCTCTGCCTCCTGGGTTCACGCCATTCTCCTGCCTCAGCCTCCCAAGTAGCTGAGACTACAGGTGCCCGCCACCATGCCCGGCTACTTTTTTTGTATTTTCAGTAGAGACGGGGCTTCACCATGTTAGCCAGGATGGTCTCGATCTCCTGACCTTGTGATCTGCCTGCCTCGGCCTCCCAAAGTGCTGGGATTACAGGTGTGAGCCACCAGGCCCAGCCAAGTAAAATGTTTTAAATGGCATTATATACCTGAAAAAAAATGTGCAAATGTTGTGTCCTGAGATGTATGAGTAAGACATTTGATTAAAACCAATAGTTCTATAATTGCTTTCTTCCAAAAATTGCTTAGTTACCTTCCAGTGTTGTCCTAATGAAAAGACTGCATACCTTCTTCCACAATGGTTGAACTAATTCACATTCCCACCAACAATGTAAAAGTGTTCCTATTTCTCTGCAACCTTGCCAGCATCTGTTGTTTCTTGACTTTCTAATAATCACCATTCTGACTGGCGTGAGATGGTATCTCATTGTGGTTTTGATTTGCATTTCTCTGATGATCAGTGATGTTGAGCTTTATTTCATATGTTTGTTGGCCACATGAATGTCTTCTTGTGAGAATTATCTGTTCATGTCCTTTGCCCACTTTTTAATGGTTTTCTTTTATTGTAAATTTGTTTAAGTTGTTTGTAGATTCTGGATATTAGACCTTTGTCAGATGGATAGGCTGCAAAAATTTTCTCCCACTCTGTAGGTTGCCTGTTCACTCTGAGGATAGTTTCTTTTGCTGTGCAGAAGCTCTTTAGTTTAATTCGATCCCATTTGTCAATTTTTGCTTTTGTTGTAATTGCTTTTGGAGTTTTCGTCATGAAATCTTTGCCTGTGCCTATGTCCTGAATGGTATTGCCTAGATTTTCTTCTAGGGTTTTTATAGTTTTGGGTTTTACATTTAAGTCTTTAATCCATCTTGAGTTAATTTTTGTATAATGTGTAGCTAGCATTTGGTCCAGAAATCTCATTACTGGGTATATATCCAAAGGAACATAAATCATTCTATTACAAACATACATGCACGTGTATGTTCACTGCAGCACTATTCACAATAGCAGAGACATGGAATCAACCCAAATGTCCATCAATAATAGACTGGATAAAGAAAATGTGGTACATATACACCATGGAGTACTATGCAGCTATAAAAAGGAATGAGACCATGTTCTTTGCTGGGACATGGATAGAGCTGGAAGCCATTATCCTCAGCAAACTAACGCAGCAACAGAAAACCAAGCACTGCATGTTCTCACTTGTAAGTGTGAGCTGAACAATGGAAACACATGAGCACAGGGAGGGGAACAACACACACTGGGGCCTATTGGGGGATAGAGTGTGGGGAGAAAGAGCATTAGGAAAAATAGGTGATGCATGCTGGGCTTAATGCTTGGGTGATGAGTTGATAGGTGCAGCAAACCACCATGGCACACTTTCACCTATGTAACAAACCTGCACATCCTGCACATGTACCCCAGAACTTCAAATAAAAATAAAAATTTAAAAAAAGAAAAGTCTGCACAAATGCTGTCAGCTCATCTCTATCAATACGTGTAGTGCTTCTAAAACTATGGGTTTCATAATATGACGATCATGTCCTATTTAAGTTGTGGAGAGTTCAATAAGAGTCCTACCCAGAGGGCCAAAGCATCTTGGGTGATAAGATGAATCAATAACCATTTGAGCCAGAGGGAGAATTCAAATGGTAGTTAAGGAGGTAAACAAAAGTTTTAGGATAATTTTGTCTCTCTTGGTTAATACTTAACTTACCTGTGAAATTCTATTTTTTTTTTTTGATAGAGACAGTGTCTCACTATGTTGTCCAGTCTGGTCTCAAACTCCTGGGCTCAAACCATGGCCCCTCTCAGCTTCCTAAAGTGTTGGGATTACAGGCATGAGCCATAGTCAGTTTTTTAATACTAAAAAATATATTTATGATAAAAGCACAACTTTTAATGTATTAATTTAAAAAGGAGTACTTTTTCTTTACTTCAAAATGAATCCCTATACAATATTCATCTCTGAGATTTGAAATGTAGATATAATTTATTGACATACTTGAGTTTTTTATCATTCAAATATTTGTATGCAATTAAATCTTAAGGGAAAACTGTTGAATTTAATATTTCTAGTTATGAAAATAATGCAATTACATGAAAAAATGCTTGTGATGTTGTTGTAGATGAAGACAGCCCATTCAGAATTGTATTTACTGTATAATCTCAATTCTCAATCCCATATCAACCTTGATAAAGATATCTTAGCAGGTTTAGGATTTGTTGGGTGTTTCTTGATTCAGGAAAATTTGTGGCATATTGAAGACATCATTCCTGATATAAGATCAATAGAAATCCCAGAAAATTTACTATCAGTGTATTAACAAGACCCTGTGGTAATGTCCAGAGGCAAATAACTTGTGTGCAGACTTCTTTTTTCTTTTTCTTTTCTTGCTTTTTATTTATTTATTATTTTTTATTTTACTTTCAGTTCCAGGATGTGTAGGTTTGTTGCATAGGTATACATGTGCAATGATGGGTAGCTGCACCTACTAACCTGTCATCTAGGTTTTAAGCCCCACATTGATTACCTATTTTTCCTAATGCTCTCCTTCCCCTTGCCCCTCACCTCACAACTGGCCCTGGTGTGTGATGTTCCCCTCCCTGTGTCCATGTGTTCTCATTGTTCAACTCCCACTTGTTAGTGAGAATATGTGGTGCTTGGTTTTCTGTTCCTGTGTTAGTTTGCTGAAGATGATGGCTTCCAGCTTCATCCATATCCCTGCAAAGGACATGATCTCATTCTTTTTTATGGCTGCATAGTATTCCATGGTGTATATGTACCACATTTTCTTTATCCAGCCTATCATTGTTGGGCATTTGGGTTGGTTCCATGTGTTTGTTATTGTAAATAGTGCTTGTGTGCAGACTTTTTGAGTGGACATCTTCAACCAATCATTCTGTGGAATGTGTTCCTAGTTCAGTCTACAACTTTGGTGTCTTTCACAGAGGACCTCAAGCAAGGACATATATAATCATCTGCTGATTGTTTATATCTGATGAGTTATTTCCAACTGTTGATAGACAATTATAAAATTTCCAGAGTAGAGGATCTTCTGGGGTTAAGTGGCTCCTGCTACCCCATGTCATCCTGGATGGCATGATAATGCATCTACCCAGAAGTTTTGGTTACCTAGTATGTGCGTGTTTGAACTTGAATTGCCCCAAGAATATTGCCCATTGTGTGAAATATGAGCTGTGCTTCCTTACTGATCTGATGTTCCAAGTTGTGACGACTGACCCCTGGACACATGTTAATGAGTACCCTCAAAATTATTTCTATAAATAAAGTCTTCAATCAGTGATATGGAAAAACCACAGGTAGGAGTTCTGGCCCAACTAATGGCTAGCATTTACTGCCAGATATATGAATGAATAAGCCTTCAAATGCTCCTATCCCCTAGTCTTTGAGTATTCCCAGCTGAGACCTTAGACATTTTGGAGCAAAACCAAGACATTTCTGTTATGTTCTTTCCAAATTCTAAGCCCAAAGAATCTGTAAGCATAATAAAATTGTTGTTGTTTTGTGCCTCTAAGTTTAGAATGCTTTGTTACTCAATTATTGCTAACTGAAATATAATTTGGTACCTGTAAGTAGAGTGCTGTTATAAGAAAACCTGAAAATGTGTGGACCAGGAAGCAGAGGAGTACGAAAGACTCTTGAAGAGAGTGATAGAAAAAAGCCTTCAGAGCCTTAAAGGGGCTGTTGGTGAGGGCTTAAAGGAAAGTAAGAAAAAATGGAAGCTCTGTGAAAGGGAGACCTTGTTCTTTAGTAGCAGAAAGTCAGCAACACCCTTCTGTGGTAACATGAAAAATAGGATACACCTAGTAAACTTGATGAACTAGCTATAGAGATGTGTAAAATACCACTTGGCTTCTTTTCACTGCATATGATAAAACGCAAAAGGAAATATACGAGCTAAAGGTTTGACTCTTATTATAAAGAATGCAGTACTTGGTAAGTTTGAATACAATACTATTTCACTTTCCCAGTCTCTCCATACAGAGATTCTCAAATCAAAAAAGGCTCTGTGCTAAAGATAAAAACCAGGTTGGGACTCTTTGTTAAAGCCTCAAAAATATGTAAAGCAGTGCCTCCTAGAACCTTTCAGACAGAACAAAGGCCTTCTAAGGATCTTAAGGACAGATACAGATCTCTTTTTGCTAAGTGATGGAGCTTTTAAGTTTAAGGGGGTTATACCACAGCAGCCTCACAGGGAGCCCAAGGTAGAAAAAACAATGGAAATCTCTTATTATGGCTTTTGTCTGATAGAGTGGATTATAAATTGGTACACAGAAAATTTTTCAAGGAATTGTGCAATAGGTTGGACTTAAAAGGATAGAGATAGTACAAAATGAAGTGCTTTGGACTTCCAGACTACTACAGGAGAAAACAAACTGAAAAAAAAAAAAAAACCACTCAGCTGCAAACATAAGCTTTTTTTATGAAACAAGGAAAGATGACACAGAAAATGGAACCAAGAGACTAGAGGCAGAGTGAGAAGTAATAGAGAGTAGATCTCAAGCAGTAGGACAAAACAAGGAACTGGCAATATGTACTTAGCTATATTTCAGAATTGTTATGAACTAGTGACTGCTGCAGTCTTTCCATCCCCTCTTCCATTTCCATGAGAGGGCCTATGGCAATTATTCTAGGCCTGGCCCCATAATTTTATGTTGAATGTGTAGAGCAGGTAACTTGTAACTTTAGCTTGCATGTCTTCAGGTCAAGAGGTGCTTATGGAACTGTACTCAAAAGAATCAAACCTTAGGATCTTCATCTGCACCTGGACCTAATATAGAAAATGAGACCTTGTAGTTGAGCTGCTGTCATTATGCGACTTAGAGGTCTTGGAGGAGGGAATTAGAATACTTTGAATGTTGGGAGGATATTAGTTATTGTACCTAGTGGGCAGATTATAGCAAATTGTAGTTTCCAAAGATGACTACACTGTATATCTCCAATCCCACATGCTCTTTTGAACATGTGACTTCGACATTTCTTCCATCAAGAAATGGGGTCTGCGTTCCCCTCCATTCAATCTGAGTGTAATTGTGACTTGGTACAAGTAATGTTTTGTGACTTCCAAAGCTAGTTTACTCCATGACTCTTTGGAAACTTGTTCTTGTAACCCATTTGCTATACTGTGATGAACTCCAAGCAGCTACATGAAGAAGTCACACATAGGTGTTTCAGCTGACAGCCCCAGCTGAGATCATGACTGATACTCAGCATCCTCAACTGCCAGACATGGAAGTGAGTGAAGCTTTAGACAATATTAGCCTTCAGACTTTTGAGTCTTCCTAGCTGAGGCCCTAGACACTGTGGAGCACAAACAATCCATCCCTGCTGTGTCCTTTCCAAATTTCTGACCCTGATTCAGAATCTGAGATTAATGAATCAATTGTTGTATGCCACTAAGTTTGGGTGACTTGTCACATAGAAATAGTAACTGGAACAATACCTGATAGCCAGTACCCTTGAATCTTAAATCAAGTTCTAGACAGACAGGTAGAATGTTCTACTGGACAGTTCTGGCTGAGGAATTCCATCTCTAGACTTTTGATGATTTGTTTGTTTTAGTCTGGAAACAGTACTGATATAGAAAACTCACTACTGCTGGAACTGGGAGTTTGTTAGAGAGATGTATCTATGGAATATATTTAAAAATGTCAAACACGTCAGTATTCTTCAACCTTTCTACCTTCCTAACCTAAGGAATGAAACCTTTTCTCATAAGTAATATTGTCTCTCTATAGAAGTAACTTTTATGTGTAAGGATAAGAGGTATACATAATAATCTACAGGGGATAGGATGGGGGAATGTGTACTTTTAAAAAGTCCCTAAATCCTGGAGATTCTTATGCGATCTCCATTTGAGATTCACTGATTTGTACACTAATATCCTCCTGAGATCTGAGACAGGTTATTTATTGTATAGGCCTTCAATTCTAGGCAGTCAGGGGCATGGCAAAGAACTAAGGAAATAATTATTTTACAAGTGTCCTTGGAGTGCCACATAAAGCTCTGTAGTTTCATATTTGTTTAAAAGTGGCCCCTGGGTTGGAACAGAAATGTCAGAGATGTGCAAAAGCAGATAGATGCCCAACACAATCAATGCTATTTTAAGAAGCAGCAGAAAAGCTGTCTTTATGTGTTACTGTGCTCTTTCCCTAAGTGAATCCCAGTCCCCTCAAATAACAGAGCTATTTTTAAAGTGCTGAGAATGTCAAAAGTTTTATCATGAAATTTTAGTTCAATGTATTTATTATGTGGTGTGACTCACATCAATTTGTTGCTTGATGGGAGTAAAACTGAATCCAAGATAACAATAAGAAAGATACAGAATCAGAAAGATAGCTGTGTGAGTTTACCACATTTTCCTCTAATTGTTCCTTCCTAATGCATGCTAGCATTTTCAAACCAGGACCACCTCCTTACCCTCACTCTCTCTAATACCTTGTTGCTAGGTTTTCCCAACTTTGTTATATTTTGTCAATCTAGGAACTGAGATTTCTTTGTCCACTTATCTTAACTTGGGCCTATAATGTTATTTATTTTATTATGAATGCCTCTCATTCCTTTTTATGTGACATTCTTTCTTTTTCCTTTCACCCAAGGTCAATGTCTCTCTAATTTCTTGGTTGCTCTATTATCTATTTGTTCAAGGCAACTGGCAAATTTGTATAAAAACTAGTCACATGCAGTACCAAACAAAGAAGCTGGAGTAGGGGAAAGGGAAGAATAAGATGCTGTCTAAGATTTCTTTCTAATATTGAAGGTGAGGGGATTGAGAGTTTCAGGGGTTTAGAGGCTTTACAGCAGGGAAGTAAAGCCTTCTGTAACCCTTGTTTTATTATAACCCCCACAGTCTTCCACTCTATCAGCTGAGCTGTGGAAGGGTGCCCCTGTTTCATTATAAAGAAACTCACTAGACTATAACCTCTTTTAAGCTCTGAGATTTTTGTCAGTTTTTTTTAAACTGATGTATCCCAAGTGCCTACAATAGTGTCTGGCATATGAGAGGTGCTTAATGTGAAATTTTATTGAATGATTAAATGCAGCTCACTTTCTATCTGGGAGACAGCATGATATAGTGGAAAGGTCATCGATTTTGGAATAATCCTTTATCTGACATCAAATATTGAAAGTACCTAAGAATTCAGTATGGGCTACCTTCTCTTCTAAATCTGTATTTTTTCCTTAGTTGGTCTCATCCATTCCCATGGATTCAATTACTGTCTATAAGCTGATGATGCCTACATTTCTGTTTATACGTGCAATTCCATATACTCAATTACCTACTTGACATCTCCGCTTGAATGACTCACAGGCACCTCAAACTCATGATATTTAAAATTGAACTCATTATATTTCCCCCATATTTGCCACTGAGATGAGCTGAATCAAGCCTGTTGTAGTGTATATAACATTGATTGAGGCTAATTTTAGCCTTTTCGAGTCCCAGAATATTATTTCCAGCAGTAGACTGATGATAGATCCTTAACAAAACTCCCCTTACTTGTCTTATACACATTAGCTCACCAGAAGTTAGAGACAAAGAGAAACAAACAGCTCTCATTTTCTATTTTCCTCCAGGGCATTATCCTATAAAATTCCAAGTCTAAGACGTAAGTTAACTTAATTTTGAGACTGGGGTCTCTTCAAGTTCTGAGAAGTTGAATGAAAGCTTGAGAAGGAAGATCAGGGTTATTGCCATGGTATAGTCTCTCTATGAATAGAAGTGTGTAAAAAAGGAATAGCCCACTATGTTTGAATGACTTAAGTAAATGTCAGGGTCAAACGTCAGGATCAGCCATGGATACAAAAGCTACATTATTCTTTCTTGTTCTACCTTTTTTGTGTATTATGATAAATGATTATATCGTTAATGCTCTAAATGCTAATGTAATAACAGATATCAGCTGCAGTTAATTGGTGACCTATTTTGGTTAAAAGTCCTTAAAAACAACAACAACAAAAATATTAGGATCAGAACAGGAGTTTTCAACATCAGCACCACTGACATTTAGGACCAAATAATTCTCTCTCTGTGTGGGGGAGATGGGGACTGCCTTGTGCATTGTATAGTGTTTAGCAGTATCCGTGCCCTCTACTTACTAGATGCCAGTAGCACCACTGCCTCAGTTGTGACAAGCCAAAATGTCTCCAGACATTGCTAAATGTCTTTTGAATGACAAAATTGCCCCCAGTTAATAGCGACTGATCTAGGAGAATTGCTATATCAGACTGATGATATGAGAAATCATTTTAAAGGTAATTGACTAATGGGATTATTACCAAATTCTTCTTTCCATATATATATATACCTCATCTATTATGGTAATGAGAGAATAAGAAACTGGAAATTTTTCAATGGGCACAGATTATCATAGTTACTACATATGTATACTTTCTATTTGTGTATGTATGCATATGCATAGTAAGTCATACATAATTACTATGGCTGATATAAGATACACAGAGTGGCTTATCAGAAAGCTAGTAAATCGCTGTATTACATTTGTAGAACATGAATCACCAGATTCTAAGAGTTGATAAAGATGAATTAAAAATGATCTTTATCAGTTTAAAAGGATATGTCAGTGGAAAACAAAAGTTTCTGCCACTCCACAACACCTAATGGAAATGCAGTGGGTTACATGAACTACCTTGAGGTATAGGTAGTACTGAATGACAGCAATGCCTTCCGCAACTGGAAGAACATGGATGCTGGCTATTTAAGGTCCCAAACCACTTGGGTATAGCCAATTTGAAAATGCCTATAGAAAAGCACTAGTTCCATGGTGATGCTATTCAAGAGAGACTCATGCAAAGAAGAACTTTAGAAAGGTTCAAGCAAAGTCTCATACATTCTTGGACTCAGTCAGCCCAGCTACATGAACAACAAGGTCCCAAACAGCCATTTCAGTATAATTGCTGGCACTGACTCCCAGAATACCACATCCTACCTTGGTCTTTATTGTCTCCGACAACTTGCTCGTCTTGGAGAGGGGACTGAATACCACTTTCAGAATAGATATCACTAGGCATAAGTGGGTGGTGATGTTCTCTGAGTATCATTTTAAGGCTTCAATCTATGTTATAGGGCCAAGATTAGCAAGAAAGGTGTGCATATGTCATCTCAAGTGTTCCACTTACGGGAAATAGAAACTATCCCCTTGGAGGGAATTAGGTTTATTTGGAATTCCCAGAGTACATGGCACTCTGGGAAGGCAAGCCTGTTTGAAAACTTAGGACAACCTACAGACAGTATCTGTAGTAGCTATCAGCTATGTTGCCTTGCATAAACTCTTGGTGCCTCAACATATGGGGTAGAGGACAGCATGATGAGCTAAGAGAAAAAGGCCTTCTACACCTTGGGGATTGGTGACTCTTCCATGACAGTGGATTTTAAATCTTCAATTATTTTGACTACTATCCACAAATGAAATACATTTTATGGCTTTATCCAGCAAACATATTTGTGTACACACACACACACACACACACACACACACAAACATATAACTGAAGCAAAAGTTTCACAAAATAATTACTTTTCTAAATGCCACATATTCTTATATTTATTTTTCTATCTTATACTTCCTTTTATAAAAATACTGTTTTTGACCAACTGAACTGATTTAATAGCTTAGTGGATTAAGATCTGCACTTTGAAAAATATTCTTCTAGTGTGACTAAGATTTTACTTTAAGAATGACAAAAGTTAAAAATAGTAAGCCAGGAATTAAGTTATATTTTGCATTGGTCTATGTAAGGGAAGTAGAAACATTTGATTTTTTTATGCATCTTATTTTTCTCAGAGGATATGAGCAGGTACTTGTGAGAGCATTAAGCAATGGCTGTGACTATTAAAAAAGAAAAGACCCTAGAACTAATTTAGACCTGGATTTTTTTTTTGTTTTGTTTGCCAGGGGTGAATGAAGACATTAAATACACTGTGAAACTTCTGCATACTGCAAAAGACCTCCAAATTTGGCAGCCTATCTGGAAACAATCCTTAATGGCAAGCTCATAGAGTTAATGAACAAAGACTTCTTGTTTTTAAAACCAGATAGCAGAACTTGTGGGAGCAGACTCTTGGAAACCAATTCTTTTACCCATCATGCCCCAAATTAAAGGGCTCTAATCACAGTTGCCTAGATTTTATGGAAGAAATGCTTCTCTCTCTATAGGCTATTATGCGAAGTATTCCAGGTGACCTCTATATATGGACTATTATGCAAAGTACTCTAGAGGTAGTGGATACACAAAAATCCAGAACATCCTCTTTATGATTCACAACTTAAAATATTTCATTGGACTTTGCTGTACATACTAGGAAGCAGGCAGTGGGGGCAGAGAAAAGGGTTAATGGAACCAGCACATAACATTCTTATCATGTGGCTATGAAGGTTCTAAAAAATGCCCACTTTGTTTACCTTTTACTTTGGGGTATTTGGTGGGGGGCTGACTGTCCACAGACCCCTAATTTGGATTGGCTATTGAGAATGGAGATTCAATAAGCTTGATCTAGCATGTGGGTAAGTGAAGTGAGAAACTACACCTGGAAATTCCCAGATGAAATACCGCTGTGAGTCACAACAGTACTGTCAGTGCTCAAGTTTGGTACCAGTAACTTCAAGATGGGTGATGAGTACTATTGTAGACTTTGCGTCTCCCCTTTCAGTATGAAATGAATGTCAGGGGTACACTTACATCCTATATAGTGGGGCTAAAGTTTGTGGCCACAGCCTGTATAAAAACAGTTGGCAGGAAATAGGATGGATCTAATACAGCGGGTCTACAAGTAGGATTTATTAACTATAAATTAATTGGGGAGAAGACTTTCTATGTCTGTGATCCCAGTGCTTGGGAACTAAGACTGGTGGATGAGGCTGTCTTTTGCCTAGGAAAAGTTTACAGTTGACTATGTCTCATTTCCATGGGAAACAGAGACACTAAGCTAGAGAGAGAGTTAGAAATGAGATTGGAGTGGTTGTCATCATAAGTAAGGGAGTCTGCCTACCCATACCCATAGACTTTGTAATGGACAGTGGTCTTTGAACATAGGCTTTTCTAGAGAGGCCTCAGGAATTTCTAGAAGAAACAAAACCTGGAGGCCTGTGTCTCTAAGGTAAGAGAACAAGGAACTGAAGGGAAAATGCTCATCTTGAAAAAGAGTGCTAATTCACACTAGGAGTAATTTGAAACCTGGATAATAGCCCAGTTTTGTTCTATCACTCTGGTTATCCTGGGGGAGGATGTGATTTGGTATGTGAGAATCTGAGCCTATTAACCAAGCTTACAGTGCCCAGATAAAGGGCTGCTTATTATCTGATTCTTGGAAGAGCCAATTCATGAGTGAAGATATAGACTGTAACATGTACTATAAAGTTTTTTTATACATGGAAGAGTATAATAAAAGTTGTAGGGGATATCAGCATATCCTCAACCACTGTTCCACTTAGGCTTTTAACATGTCTGAGCATACTTGGAGAACTGCTTGAAAAAACAATGCCAAGATCCTAGCTACCTAACGGGCCAAATAACCTTTGTTAAATAATTTGTCCTTAGGGAAGAGAAAGTCACAGAACTCAAGATGAGTTCAAAGATGATTGGCCAGTCCCATTAGACAGGGTGATTCAAATTACAGAATAGGCATATATCCCTCAGTTAGATTTGTTACTGATCCAGCTCATTTATAGAGATTCATGTTTTAGCCATAGAGGGATATCAAGAAAAAAACAAAGATATCCCTCCTAGGCAAGGAGAGTGGACATCAGCAGCCTTAGTATAAAAATATTGTCTGGGCACAATGGCTCATGCCAGTAATCCCAACACTTTGGGAGGTCAAGGTGGGCTGACTGCTTGAGTCCAGGAGCTGTAGACCAGCTGGGCAACATGGCAAAACCTCATCTCTACAAAAAATACAAAAATTAGCGAGGCATGGTGGTGCGCTCCTGTAGTCCTAGCTACTCGAGAGGCTGAGGTGGGAGGATTACTTGAACCCAGGAGGCGGAGGTTGCACTGAACTGACAACGCCCCACTGCACTCCAACCTGGGAGACAGAGTGAGACCCCGTCTCAAAAAAAAAAAAAAAAAAAACCATGGAGGAGTACCACCAGCAGCAATAACCTTCAACAGTCATCAGTAGTGAGAGATATCTTAAGAGGCAATGGATTCCATAGCTTCTTTTGGCATAGGAGGCATTACTACAGCAAGGAGAAGAAAATAAGAGTCATTACATAGTAGCCAAGAAGACTGGTTCTCACGGCATCTGAGAGATACCCATGTCCCTTAAGTACTTGCAAAACTATTTGTGATGCACTGAGTCCATGAATAGAGCAAAGTAGAGCAAGCACTACCTATTTTTAAAACAAATGGGTTAGAGTCAAAGAGAAATTATTTGATGATTGTTAACATAACTCTATTTTATATCCATTATCATGTAGCCTGTGAAATGAAAATCAATTATGGTTATATTCCTTTTCTAGTAAGAAAATAAGTGTATAAAAGTAAACTGTATTAAGAAAATGAATCAAAATCAGGCATAATCAATTTGTCTAGTAATGTTAATTGCCTAATTTATAAAACTATAAGTGGGTGCACCCAGGACATAAAGAGTAAAATCAATGATCCTTCAAATGCTGTCAATGAGGTATTATCAACAAGATATATAGTTGATTAAATATACCAATTATCAATGAGGTATTATCAGCTATCTGGTAATATATATAATAGGAAACGCTAACATATCTCAAATTCCCCACTCTATTATCATTAGTAATGATAAATACCACAAGAAAACATCATAATTATGTTGAGCATCTACTATGTGCCAGATGCTTCCTTTAAACTATCTCACTCAATCCTTCCAGCAACCCTGCACATTAGGTACTATTATTGCCATTTTGTAGATGTTAAAACTGAGGCTCAGAGAGATTGTGACTCTCTGAGTTATACAGCAATTATGTGATAGAATTGTATTTGCCATCCTGTTCAAACTGACTTCAATCCTGATGTTCTCTCTATTATAATATGCTGCCTTCCAGGGAGGTTGATTTTGAGAGACTGAAATGAGTGTGGAAAAATGTATACAGCTGTCACAAGAATAACACATCGCTATTGAGACTCAGGAGAATGTGTTTTTATTCTAACATCTTATTTGTGTACTGTTAGTTCCTTAAATCTCATTTGGTGAATATTCAGTGACAAAAAACACTTTGGAGATCTGCATATGAGAGCTTGGGATTTTATAAATGGACCAACCAAAGATGATAAGATTTCAGCTTTTATCACAGAAAAACATGAATTTTAGGTAAGTAAGAAGAAAAATGAATAGGACTGAAGTTAACACCTGAAAATATGACTATATAAACTTTTGATTTTTATAAATATAACTTTCTTTCAAATAGAAACTTTTGAACTCTGAATGTGTCAGGTAGCAGGTCAATTCTAGTTCTACATAAACTTTGGAAGTCAGTGGAAATGTGTACAGAAATGTGATGCCATGTTTCCAGACTTGACAACATAATTTACTCAGTTATTTAACAATTCATTGTTTTGAATCACATGTTTATGAATAAGAGCCAAAAAGATTACATTTCCTTGTATATTTTTATGTGAGATAGTTAATCACACATAGAAATATCCGTGGTTTTCCTGAGTTAAAGGTATACAACTGGAAAATTAAAACTTTTTGATAACTCACCATTGTTCTCAGGATAAAAACTAAAATCCTTAATGGCCCTAGAAAGTGCTGCATGGTTTAGCATCTGTTTCTCTTTTTGTACTTCATCTCAAGTCACTCCAACCCTTGATCACTACATTCCAATCACACTGGTTCAGGGTCATTGTACATATTGTACCCAAATTATGATACATTACTGAAATTATTTTGTCCTCCTATAAGAAAATATTTGAAATAAGTGATAAGTATGTAAAATGAAAACCGATAAGAATGTTCACAAGAAACAAATTAAAGAATCCTAGATTAATTCCATAAAGTGTAGCTCTATTAAAAACAAATTACTTCTTATGAATCGTGTCTTGATAAAATTAAATGTGCTTGAACAAAGGTAAATATTATTTGCTTGTTTAAATCATCTTTCTTTCCCTAAAAAAAAAAATTGAGGAGGCTGTAAATCCATTTTCAAAGAGCAACACTTCACTCTTTTGGTTTTTCCCTCTGCTCTTTAAATTTATGTACACAATAGAGAGAAAAACAGGGGACTGTAGAATAAACATAAGAAACATAAAAACCAAATGTGTGGACATTGTTTGCATGCTGATGAGAAAAAAGTTGGAAGAAGATATCTTTGAGATAATTAGGAAAATTTTAACCTAAGCTGGGTATTAGATGTTATTAAAACATTATTGTTAATTTTGGTAGGTATGGTAATAACTGGGTGGTTATGTGGAAAAATAAGTCCTATTAGTTTGATATGTACTCTGAAATATTAAGGAGTGAACTAACATAATGTCTGAAATTTGCTTTAAAGTATTCCAGAAAAAAGCAAAGGAAAGAATACATGTAAAGAGATTGTTGTTATGTACACTGAATACCCAGAAAAAAACACCCAATGTAAAAAAAAAAAACTATAAAAGAACAAGAAGGAAACAGTGAATTTTTGTATAATTGAGTGACAGGAAAGACCTTTTAAACTTTGGTAAAAAGTCCAGGCCAAAGAAACAAAGACTGATAATATCAACTACTTTAAAAGCAAATAAACAAAAAATTTACATGATCATAAAACATAACATGATAAAAAAATTTTAAATGACAAATGAAAAACTGGAAAAAATATTTGCAACTGATATCACAGATAAGACCTAATCCTCCTACTTTTAGAAACTGATAAGACATATATGAAAAATACTCAACCTTACTCATAAAAGAGAAATATGGATTAAACTACAATGAAAAAGAATGTTCAGCAATAAACTTCAGGAAGTAAGCACTCTCATATATTTTGGTAGAACAATCCCTATGAAGGTTAATTTTGTAATATTTATAAAAAATACAAATGAATTTGTTCGAGTCAACAATCCTACTAGAATTTATGTCTACAGATATACCTGTGTATGCATATATACAAAACTTTTTATTGGTGTACTGTTTGGATTAATAAAATATTAGAAATAACTCAAATGTACATCACAGAGAACTGGTTAAATAAGTTATGGTACATTCATACAATGGAGTACTACTCACCTGTTTGAAAAACAAAGAATGAAGACCCGCTCTTTATTTATACTGATATGAGAAGGTTTCAGGATACAGAGTTCAGTGAAAAAAAGCAAGGAAAGGTAGAGTATCTATAGTATACTACCTTTGTAATAAATAAAGGTTGGAAATGAAAATGAAGTATGTCATAATTTTCTTGCTTTTACATAAAGAAACACTCGAAGTAGCCACAATATTGAATAAAAGCAGTTAATGGAGGGGTAGGAGGAGCCATGTAGATTGAGAAAGGATAGAAATGGGACTTCTGAATAGAAACCTTGTTATGTTGCTTTATTTTGAGACATGTGACTATATTACACATTGAAAACAAGATAAATAAAAACAGTTTAAAATAGGAAAATTAGCTCCTCAGCAAATCTTTTCCATTTCTCTCAAGAAGATTTAATATTTCTTTTTCTTGTGCTTCCACGCTATTTTGTGTGTTTTATATATATACTATTTTCTATAACACTCCTCAGTGAGTACTATACTTTTTGTTTCTTATTGGTAATTCCTACAAAGCTATGAACTCCTAAAGTGTAGAAATCTTGTTTTAAGGCATTGCTGTCTCTCTCATAATGAGCACAGTGCCTGGCAAGTGGTAGTTATCCAGTAAACTGTCTTTGAATGAATGTAACCTTTTCAAGTCCACCTTATCTTAGTGAATCTCTTCCCATAACATCTTACTTGTGTCTATTTTATTGCATTTATCGTTATCTTATGTTAGAATTACTCACTTAGATTTGTTTGTCTTTATGATGTGAACTCCTGGAGATATGTGTTAAATTAAGACAGTGAACTGAGAGACTTCCATAAAGTTAGAAATTTTTTTCTGTAATTTCTCCTAAGTTAACAAAAGATATTAATATTATCATATGTAAGATGATCACTCTCTAGTAAAATAATAGTCTCATTATAGGAAAATAAGAAATAAATCTTAAAAAAATGTTTATTACACTTATGTGTTTATCCACAGAGACCTCACACATCATACAGTCCTTTATTAAAGGGTATGCAGAAATCTGTTAAGCTGTTTTTAAAATCTCCTTTTCCTTTTTATTTAATTTACAGAATTTCAAGAATTAATTTTGAAAGACACTCATAGTATTTAGACAGACTTCTACAGACTGATAAGGGTAGAATAACACTAGTAAATAGGCGTTTAAAGATGGAAAGAGATATTTTCCTAGAGTACATAAATTCTTTGAATGCATGAAAGTCCCTTGACCCAGCTGAAATACATTTGTTTATATAGTTATTCATTCAGTAAATATTTTTTGAGCAACTACTATACTAGGCATTCTGAGATACTAAGGAATAAATATAAAGTTTGTCCTCAGGGAGGCAGTATAGCATAGTAGTTAAAAACATAGAATAAAATACATCTACTTCTGAAACATTGCTTCTCTCTTTACTAGTTACATGACCTTGAGCAAATTGCTTAAATATTATGTCTTAGATTTATCCTCCATCAAATAAGGATAATAATACCTATTTCATAGGATTTCTATGAAGAGTTAAATGAAAAAATGAAAGTACATAAAATACACACTGCTTGCCATATAATAAATAATTTAATAAGTATTTTAAAGTCTTGTAGTGTAGAAATAGAAGTGTTCTTTTCTGCAATGTATTTTTTTCCTAAGAGTAGCATTTATCTGCTTTATAGTATATGTAGTATATGACTCCATTCCAAAAACTTATAAATAGACTCTGCATTCACACATGATACTCTTGTCATAATTCTCAAGCTGTACAAGGTAGGGGGGAACAACTTAGAATAAGTAGTGAGAAGATTAGTAAATGAAACTGATCAACAACTATTAGTAATCTTACTAAGAAGAATAAAAGAGAGTTCAGAAGACTGATGATGGAAGAATATGATTTATTTATTTGAACATAAGAGTGGAAGTCTAAGAAAGATTCTAAATGTATTAAAAAGCACTTTGGAAAAAGAAATGGATGTTACTAAAAGTCAATGTGGATTCACTAAGAATGTATTATGCGAAACCAGTGTTACTCAAACTGGTGTCCCTCAGAATACTAAATGTTAATAGAATGGTGCTGGAATTAAAAAATCTGTTCTATGGCTAAATAAATATGGGAAACAGGTATTTAGCAAAGTATTTGAACACAGAACAATTCTATTTGTGTGTGTGTGTGTGTGTGTATGTGTGTATTACTTATCATTATTCTAGACTAACGGCCTATGAAATATAGTTTTGGTTAACTATAGTTTTAAGTTAATTTTCTTTATTTGTAGAGTTACGAGACTTGTGGAAAGGAAAATAAACAATCATGTTTTATTTTAATTTTTATAAGGAGTTTGAAGAAATTTCATAAATGTAAGATGAAAACATGTCTTCAGGATCACTTAAATATATTGATTCCATAACCCTTAAATAAATTTTGAAAATTTATATATCCCAGAGGCTCCTCAGCCGCATGCCAAGCAGTCAATCGCCTTAGCTCCCGCAGCCTGTGCTCCCAACTCTGTGGCTCCACCCGCTATTGTAGGCCAATAATCTGTTATGGAGCATGCCTTTACCCCGTTGGAGCCCCTGCTTTCCACTGAAGTGCCTTCACCTTCTGCCATAATTGTGAGGCCTCTCCCAGCTACATGGAACTATGGCCGAATAGGAACAGCTCCAGTCGGCAGATCCCAGCATGATCGACCCAGAACACGGGTGATTTCTGCATTTCCAACTGAGCTCTGAAGAGAGCAGTGGTTCTCCCAACATGGTGTTTGAGCTCTGAGAATGGACAGACTGCCTCCTCAAGTGGGTCCCTGACCCCTGTGTAGCCTAACTGGGAGACACTTCCCAGTAGGGGCCGACAGACACCTCATATAGGTGGGTGCCCCTCTGGGAGGAAGCTTCCAGAGGAAGGATCAGCCAGCAATATTTGCTGTTCTGCAACCTCCGCTGGTGATAGCCAGGCAAACAGGGTCTGGAGTGGACCTCCAGCAAACGCCAACAGACCTGCAGCAGAGGGGCCTGACTGTTAGAAGGAAAGCTAACAAACAGAAAGGAATAGCATCAACATGAACAAAAAGGACATCTACACCAAAACCCCATCTGTAGGTCACCAACATGAAAGACCAAAGGTAGCTAAAACCACAAAGATAGGGAGAAACCAGAGCAGAAAAGTTGAAAATTCTAAAAATCAGAGGAGCACCTCCTCTCCTCCAAAGGATCACAGTTCCTCACCAGCAACGGAGCAAAGCTGGACGGAGAATGACTGATGAGTTGACAGAAGTAGGCTTCAGAAGGTTGGTAATAACAAACTTCTCCGAACTAAAGGAGCATGTTTGAACCCATTGCAAGGAAGCTAAAAACCTTGAAAAAAAGGTTAGACGAATGGCTAACTAGAATAAACAGTGTAGAGAAGACCTTAAATGACCTGATGGAGCTGCAAACCATGGCATGAGAACTTCGTGACACATGCACATGCTTCAGTAGCCAATTTGAAAAGTGGAAGAAAGGCTATCAGTGACCAAAGATGAAATTAATGAGATAAAATGAGAAGACAAAGAGGAAAAAGAGTAAAAACAAACGAACAAAGCCTCCAAGAAATATGGGACTATGTGAAAAGACCAAATCTACATTTGATTGGTGTACCTGAAAGTGTCAGGGAGAATGGGACCAAGTTGGAAAACACTCTGCAGGATATTGTCCAGGAGAACTTCCCCAACCTAGAAAGACCTAGAAAGACAGGCCAACATTCAACTTCAGGAAATACAGAGAACACCACAAAGATACTCCTCGAGAAGAGTAAGAGCAAGACACATAATTGTCAGATTCACCAAGGCTGAAATAAAGGAAAAAATGATAAGGGTAGCCAGGGAGGAAGGTCGAGTTACCCACAAAGGGAAGCCCATCAGACTAACAGCGGATCTCTCAGAAGAAACCCTACAAGCCAGAAGAGACTGGAGGCCAATATTCAACATTCTTAAAGAACTAATACATGTTCTAAGATTACATTTACTAATTTAATAAATGTACTAAAATATTAAAAAAAAATTTCAACCCAGAATTTCATATTCAGCCAAACTAAGCTTCATAAGTGAAGGAGAAATAAAATCCTTTACAGACAAGCAAATGCCAAGAGATTTTGTCACCACCAGGCTCAAAATAAAGGGATGGAGGAAGATCTACCAAGCAAATGGAAAGCAAAAAAAAAAAAAAAAAAAAAAAAAAAAAAAGAAGTGGTTGCAATCCTAGTCTCTGTTAAAACAGATTTTGAACCAACAAAGATCAAAAGAGATAAAGAAGGCCATTACATGATGGTGAAGGGATTAATTCAACAAGAAGAGCTAACTATCCTAAATATATATGTACCCAATACAGGAGCACCCAGATTCATAAAGCAAGTCCTTAGAGACCTACAAAGAGACTTAGACTCACACACAATAATAATGGGAGACTTTAACACCCCAGTGGCAGTACTAGACAGATCAATGAGAAAGAAGGTTAACAAGGATATCCAGGGCTTGAACTCAGCTCTGCACCAAGCAGACCTAATAGACATCTACAGAACTCTCCACCCCAAATCAACATAATATACATTTTTCTCAGCACCACATCACACTTATTCCAAAATTGACCACATAATTGGAAGAAAAACACTCCTCAGCAAATGTAAAAGAACAGAAATCACAACAAACTGTCTCTCAGACCACAGTGCAAGCAAATTAGAACTCACGATTAAGAAACTCACTGAAAACTGCACAGCTTCATGGAAACCGAACAACTTGCTCCTGAGTGACTACTGGGTATGTAATGAAATGAAGGCAGAAATAAAGATGTTCTTTGAAACCAATGAGAACAAACACACAACATACCAGAATCTCTGGGACACTTTTAAAGCAGTGTGTAGAGGAAAATTTATAGCACTAAATGCCCATAAGAGAAAGCAGGAAAGATCTCAAATCGACACCCTAACATCACAACTGAAAGAACTAGAGAAACAAGAGCAAACACATTCAAAAGCTAGCAGAAGGCAAGAAATAACTAAGATCAGAGCAGAATGGAAAGAGATAGAGACACAAAAAACCCTTAAAAAATCAATGAATCCATGAGCTGGTTTTTTGAAAAGATCAACAAAATTGATAGTTAGCAAGACTAATAAAGAAGAAAAGAGAGAAGAATCAAATAGATGCAATAAAAAAGGATAAAGGGGATATCACCACCGATCCCACAGAAATACAAATTACCCTCAGAGAATACTATAGACATCTCTACGCAAATAAACTAGAAAATCTACAACAAATGGATAAGTTCCTGGACACATACACCCTTCCAAGACTAAACCAGGAAGAATTTGAATCTCTGAATAGACCAAAAACAGGCTCTGAAATTGAGGCAATAATTACAACCATAAAAAGTCCAGGAACAGATGGATTCACAGCCGAATTCTACCAGAGGTACAAAGAGGAGCTGGTACCATTCCTTCTGAAACTATTCCAATCAATAGAAAAAGAGGGAATCCTTGCTAACTCATTTTGTGAGGCCAACATCATCTTGATACCAAAGCCTGGTAAAGACACAACAAAAAAAGGGAATTTTAGACCAACATCCCTAATGAATATAGATGAGAAAATCCTCAAGAAAATACTGGCAAACTGAATCCAGTAGCACATCAAAAAGCTTATCCACCACAATCAGGACTGCTTCATCCCTGGGATGCAAGGCTGGTTCAAAATACACAAATCAATAAGCATAATCAATCACATAAACAGAACCAATGACAAAAACCACATGGTTATTTCAATAGATGCAGAAAAGGCCTTCGACAAAATTCAACAGCTCTTCATGCTAAAAACTCTCAATAAACAGGGTATTGATGGGACGTATCTCAAAATAATAAGAGCTATTTATGACAAACCCACAGCCAATATAATACTGAATGGACAAAAACTGGAAACATTCCCTTTGAAAACCGGCACAAGACAAGGATGCCCTCTCTCACCACTCCTATTCAACATAGTGTTGGAAGTTCTGGACAGGGCAATCAGGCAAGAGAAAGAAATAAAGTGTATTCGATTAGGAAAAGAGGAAGTCAAATTGTCCCTGTTTGCACATGACATGATTGTATATTTGGAAAACCCCATCGTTTCAGCCCCAAATCTCCTTAAGCTGATAAGCAACTTCAGCAAAGTCTCAGGATACAAAATCAAAGTGCAAAAATCACAAGCATTCTTATACACCAATAACAGACAAACAGAGAGCCAAATCATGAGTGAACTCCCATTCACAATTGCTAAAAAGAGAATAAAATACCTAGGAATCCAACTTACAAGGGATGTGAAGGACCTCTTCAAGGAGAACTACAAACCACTGCTCAATGAAATAAAAGAGGACACAAACAAATGGAAAAACATTCCATGCTCATGGATAGGAGGAATTAATATCGTGAAAGTGGCCATACTGCCCAAGATAATTTATAGATTCAATGCCATCCCCATCAAGATACCAATGACTTTCTTCACAGAATTGGAAAAAACTACTTTAAAGTTCATGTGGAACCAAAAAAGAGCACGCATTGCCCAGACAATCCTAAGCAAAAAGAAAAAAGCTGGAGGCATCATGCTACCTGACTTCAAACTATACTACAAGGCTACAGTAACCAAAACAGCATAGTACTGGCACCAAAGCAGATATATACACCAATGAAACAGAATAGAGGCCTCAGAAATAGCACCACACATCTACAACCATCTGATCTTTGACAAACCTGACAAAAACAAGAAATGGGGAAAGGATTCCCTATTTAATAAATGGTGCTGGGAAAACTGGCTAGCCATATGTAGAAAGCTGAAACTGGATCTCTTCCTTACACCTTATACAAAAATTAATTCAAGATGGATTAAAGACTTAAATGTTAGACCTAAAACCATAAAAACCCTAGAAGAAAACCTAGGCATTACCATTCAGGACACAGGCATGGGCAAGGGCTTCATGTCTAAAACACCAAAAGCAATGGCAACAAAAGCCAAAATTGACAAACGGGATCTAATTAAACTAAAGAGCTTTTGCACAGCAAAAGAAACTACCATCAGAGTGAACAGGCAACCTACAGAATGGGAGAAAATTTTTGCAATCTACCCATCTGATGAAGGCCTAATATCCAGAATCTACAAAGAACTCAAACAAATTTACAAGAAAAAAACAACTCCATCAAAAAGTGGGCAAAGGATATGAACAGGCACTTCTCAAAAGAAGACATTTATGCAGTCAACAGACACCAGAAAAAATGCTCATCATCACTGGCCGTCAGAGAAATGCAAATCAAAACCACAGTGAGATACCATCTTGTGCCAGTTAGAATGACAATCATTAAAAAGTCAGGAAACAACGGATGCTGGAGAGGATATGGAGAAATAGGAACACTTTTACACTGTTGTTGGGAGTGTAAATTAGTTCAACCATTGTGGAAGACAGTGTGGTGATCCCTCAAGGATCTAGAACTAGAAATATCATTTGACCCAGCAATCCTATTACTGGATATATACCCAAAGGATCACAAACTATGCTACTATAAAGACACATGCACACGTATGTTTATTGCAGCACTATTCACAATAGTAAAGACTTGGAACTAACCCTAATGTCCATCAATGATAGACTGGATTAAGAAAATGTGGCACATGTACACCATGGAATACTATGCAGCCATAAAAAGGATGAGTTCATGTCCTTTGTAGGGACATGGATGAAGCTGGAGACCATCATTCTCAGCAAACTATCACAAGGACAGAAAACCAAACACTGTATATTCTCAGTCGTAGGTGGGAATTGACCACTGTGATCAGTTGGACACAGGGCGGGGAACATCACACACAGGGGCCTGTCAGGGGTGGGGCCTGGGGGAGGGATAGCATTAGGAGATATATCTAATGTAAACAACGAGTTGATGGGTGCAGCAAACCAACATGGCACATGTATACCTATGTATCAAACCTGCACATTGTGCACATGTACCCTAGAAGTTACAGTATAATAAAAAAACATTAAAAAGAGACAATTTATATATCCCTTCACACATCTTTAACACCAAACCTTATTCATTATTAATTAAAATTTAAATTATTTTTAAATTTTTTGGTTTTTTATTTATTTTTTATTTGTGTGGGTACATAGTATGTGCATATATTTATCGGTTACGTGATATATTTTGATACAGACATGCAATGCATAATAATCATATTGGTGTAAATGGGGTATCCATCACCTCAAGTATTTATCCTTTGGTTACAAGCTATCCAATTATACTCTTTCAGTTTTTGAAAAAGGTATAATTATTTTTTACCATAGTCACACTGTTGTGCTAGCAAATACTAGGTCTTATTCATTCTTTCTGTTTTTTGAACCCATTAACCATCCCAACTTCTCTCTGTCTAGCCACTACCCTTCCCAGCATCTGGTAACCATCATTCTAGTTTTTATCTTCATGAGTTCAATTGTTTTAATTTTTAACACCCACAAATAAGTGAGAATGTGTGATGTTTGTCTTTCTGTGCCTGGCTTATTTTATTTAATATAATGACCTACAGTGCCATCTATGTTGTTGCAAAGGAAAGGATCTCATTCTTTTTTATGACTGAATAGTAGTCAGTTGTGTATATGTACTACAATATCTTCATTCATTTGTTGACAGACCCTTAGGTTGCTTCCAAATCTTGGCTATTGGGAATAGGGCTGTAATAAACATGAGAGTACAGATATCTCTTCGATATACTGATTTCCTTTCTTTTTGGCTATATACCTAGGAGTGGGATTGCTGGATCATATGGTAGCTCTATTTTTAGTTTTTTGAGGAACTTCCAAACTGTTCTTTATAGTGGTTGTACTCACTTACATTACTACCAACAGTGTATGTGGGTTCCCGTTTCTCCACATCCTTGCCAGCATCTGTTATTGCCGGTCTTTGGATAAAAGCCATTTTAACTGGGGTGAGATGATATATCATTGCGGTTTTGATACGCATTTCTCTGATGAGCAATGATGTTGAGTGTCTTTTCATATATCTGTTTATCATTTTTATGTCTTCATTTGAGAAATCTCTATTCAAATCTTTTGTCTATTTTTGAATTGGATTATTAGGCATTTTCCTACAGAACTGTTTGAGCTCCTTATATATTCTGGTTATAAATTCCTTGTCAGATGGTGACATGGTTTGGTTCTGTGTCCCCACCCAAATCTCATGTTCAATTGTAATTCCCAATGTTGGAAGTGGGGCCTGGTGGCAGGTGAATTGGTCATGGGGTGATTTCTCATGGTTTAACTCCGTCCCCATTGGAGCTGTTGTTGTGATAATGAATTCTTGTGATATCTGGTTGTTTAAAAGTGTGTGGCACCCCCCACCCCAAGCTTCCTTGGTCTTGCTCCTGCCATGTAAGACACCTGTTTCTGATTTGCCTTCTGCCATGAGTAAAAGCTCCCTGAGGCCTTCCCAGAAGTAGATGCTGCTATGCTTCCTGTATGCCTGCCTGTGTATATGTACCACAATTTCTTTATCCATTAATAAGCCAATTAAACCTCATTGCTTTATAAATTATCCAGTCTCAGGTATTCTTTATAGCAGTGTGTGAATTGGCTAATATGACAAATTGGTATCAAGGAGTGTGGCATTGCTATAAAGATACCTGAAATTGTAGAAGTGGAACTGGGTAATGGGAACTGGGTAATGGGCAGAGGTTGGAAGAGTGTGGAAGGCTCAGAAGAAGACAGGAAGATGAGGGAAAGTATGTAACTTCCTAGAGACTGGTTGAATGGTTATGACCAAAATGCTGATAGTGATATGGACAGTGAAGGCCAGTCTCAGGAGGTCTCAGATGAAGATAAGAAACGTATTGGTCACTTCTGTTATGAGATGATTTAGGGTATCTGATGGAAGAAATTTCTAAGCAGCAAAGAAATGAACTGAAACTGGAACTTATATTTAAAAGGGAAGCAAAGCATAAAAGTTTGGAAAATTTGCAGCCTGGTCATGTGGTAAAAAAGAAAAGGCCATTTTCAGAGGAGGAATTCAAGCTGGCTGCATAAATTTGCATAACTAAGAGAAAAGCAAGTGCTGATAGCCAAGACAATGAAAAAAAAAATGCCTTGAAAGCATTTCAGAGACTTGCTTGGCAGCTCCTTCCATCACAGGCCTGGAGGCCTAGGAGGGAAGAATCATTTCCTGAGCCAGACCCAGGGCCCCGCTGCCCTGTGCAGCCTCAGGAGACTGCTTTCTGTATCCCAGCTGCTCCAATCCCAGCTATGGCTTAAAAGGGGCCCAGATGCAGCTTGGGTCACTGCCTCAGAGGGTGAAAGCCATAAGCCATGGTGGCTTCCATGTTGTATTAAGCCTGTGGGTGTGCAGAGTACAACAGTTGAGGCTTGGGAGCCTACATCTGGATTCCAGAAGATGTATGGAAAAGCTTGGATGCCCAGGCAGAAGCTGCTGCAGGGGTGGAGCCCTCATGGAGAACCTCTGCTAGGGCAGCATGGAGGGGAAATGAGGGGTTGGAGCAGTGTTGCACCAGTGTGCCCTGGATGTGAGACATTGGTGTCAAAGATTATTTTGGAGATTTAAGATGTAATAAATTTCTTTCTGGGTTTCAGACTTGTGTGGGGCCTGTAGTCCCTTATTTTGGATGATTTCTCCCTTTTGAAACAGGAGTGCTTATTAAATGCCTATATTGCTGTTGTATCTTGGAAGTAACTAACTTGTTTTTTATTTTACAGGCTCTTAGGTGGAAAGGACTTGCCTTGTCTCAAATGAGACTTTGAAATTTGGACTTTTGAGTTAATGCTGGAATGAGTTAAGACTGTGAGGGCCTGTTGGGAAGGCCTGATTGTATTTTGCAGTTTGAGAAAGAAATGAGTTTTGGGAGGGGCCGGGGTGGAATGATATGGTTTGGATCTTTGTCTTCACCCAAGTTTCATATTCAATTGTAATAGCCAATGTTGGAGAAGGGGCCTGATGGGAGATGACTGGATTATGGGGGCAGTTTCTCATGGTTTAATACCATCCCTCCTGGAGCTGTCATCACAATAGTAATTATTGTGAGAACTGGTTGTTTAAAAGTGTATAGTACCTTCTGCCCCCTTGCTCCTGCTCTGGCCAAGTAAGACATGCTTGCTTCCCTTTTGCCTTTCTCAATAATTGAAAGTTTCCTGAGACCTTCCCAGAAACTGAGCAGATGCCAGAATCATGCTTCCTGTATGGCCTTCAGAACTGTGAGCCAATTAAACCTCTTTTAAAACAAATTACCCCGTCTCACATATTTCTTTATAGCAGTGTTAGAACTGAGTAATGCAGGTGGGTAGTTTACAAATATTTTCTCCCACTGGGTGGGTTGTCTCTTCATTTTATTGATTTTTTTTTTTTGTTTTGCTTTGTTTTGTCTTTGTTTTTGTTTTTTGCTGTGCAGAAGCTTTTTAACTTGATTTGATATCATCTGTCAACTTTTGCTATGGTTTCCTATGCTTGTGGGTTATTACTCAAAGAGATCTTTGCCTAGTCCAATGTCCTGGAGAGTTTCCCCAATGTTTTCTTTCAGTAGTTTCTTAGTTTTATACCTTAGGTGAAGTCTTTAATCCATTTTGAATTGATTTTTCTATGTGGCAAGAGAGCGGGACCTAGTTCCATTCTTTTGAGAATGAGTATCCAGTTTTCTCAACACCATTTATTAAAGTGACTTTCTTTTCCCCAGTGTATGTTTTTGGCACCTTTGCTGAAAATGAGTTCACTTTAGGTGTGTGAATTTGTTTCTGGTTTCTCTATTCTGCTCCATTGGTCTGTGTGTCTGTTTTTATGGTGTTACCATGCTGTTTTAGTTACTATAGCTCCGTAATATAATTTGAAGTCAGGTATGTGATTCCTCCAGTTCTGTTCTTTTTCTTAGAATAGCTTTGGCTATTCTGGGTTTACTGTGGTTCCATACAAATTTTTAGATTTTTGTTCTGTTAAGAATGTCATTGTTACATTGACAGATATTACATTGAATTTGTAGATTGCTTGGGTGCTATGAATATTTTAACAATATTAATTCTTCCCATTCATGATTGTGGAATACCTTTCCAATTTTTTCTTTTCTTCAATTTCTTACATCAATGTTTTATAGTTTTTATTGTAGAGATCATTCACTTCTTTGATTAAGTTAATTCCCAGTTATTTTATTTTATTTGTAGCTACTGCAAATGGGGTTACTTTCTTGACTTATTTTTCAGATTGTTTTCTGTTGCCATATGGAAATGCTAGCAGTTATTATATGTTGATTTTGTATCCTGCAACTTTACTGAATTTGTATATTAGTTCTAATAGCTCTTTGGAGGAGATTTTAGGTTTTATCAAATATAAGATTACATCATCTGCAAACAAGGATAATTTTATTTTTCTTTTCCAATTTGGGTACCCTTTATTTGTTCCTCTTTTCTGATTACTCTAACTAGGACTTCCAGTACTATGCTGAATATCAATGGCAAAAGTTGGCACCCTTGTCATGCTCTTGATCTTAGAGAAATGACTTTCAGTTTTTCCTCATTAAGTATGATACTAACTATGGGTCTGTCATACATGGCTTTTACTATGTAAAGGTATGTTGCTTCTATTCCCAGTTTTTTTAGGGTTTTTATCATGAAGGGATGTTGGATTTTTTTCAAATGCTTTTTTAGCATCAATTGAAATAATCATATGATTTTAGTCTTTCATTCTCTTTATATGATGTATAACAATAATTGATTTGCATATCTTGAACTATCCTTCAATTAATGGGATAAATCCTACTTGGTGATCATGAATGATATTTTTAATGTGTGATTGAATTCAGTTTGGAAGTATTTTGTTGAGTATTTTTGTGTCAATATTCAACAAAGATATTCACCTATAGTTCTCCTTTTTTGATGTGTCTTTGTTTTTTTGTATCAGAGCAATACTGGCCTCATAGAATGAATTTAAAAGTGTCCCCTCTTCTTCTATGTTTCACAATAGTGTGAGTAGGTTGGTATTAATTCTTCTTTATATGTTTGGTGGAATTCAGCAGTGAAACCATTGGGTGCCAGGCTTTTCTTTACTAAAAATCTTTCTATTACGGCTTCAATCTCATTAGTTGTTACTGATCTGTCCAGGTTTTGGATTTATCCATGGTTCAACCTTGGTAACTTGTATTTGTGTAGGAATTCATCCATTTCTTCTAGATTTTCCAATTGGCATATGGTTGCTTACAGTAGCCACTAATGATCCTTTGAAATTCTTCAGTATCAATTGAAATGTCACATATTTCAACATTGATTTTATTTGGGTCTTCTCTCTTTTTCAGAATTAGTTTGACTAAAGGTTTGTTAATTTATCTTTTCAGAACACCAACTTTCTGTTTCATTGATCTTTTGTATTATTTTGTTCATTTCATATTTATTAATTTCAGCTCTGATATCATTTCTTTGAATAATTTTGTGTTTTGTTTGCTCTTGCTTTTCTAGTTCTTTGACTTTAATTTTAATTTTTTAATTTTTAATTTTTTGGGTACATAGTAGGTGTATATATTTATGGGGTACATGAGATGTTTTGATATAGGCATGCAATGTAAAATAAGCACATCTTTACAATAAATTATTAGGTTGCTTATTTGAAGTATTTTTTTATGTAGCACTTACAGCTATACACTTCCATCTTAGTAGTGCTTTTGCCGTATCTCATAGATTTCGGTATGTTGTGTTTACATTATCGTTTGTTTCAACCAATTTTTATATTCCCTTCCTAATTTCTTTACTGATCCACCGGTCATTCAGGAGCATATTGTTTAATTTCCATGTGTTTTTATAATTTCCTAAATTTCTCTTGTCATTGATTTATAGTTTTATTCCATGTGGTTAGAGAAGATGCTTGATATTATTTCAATATTTTTAAAAATTTTTAAAGACTTGTTTTGTGACTGTACATATGGTCTATCCTTGAGAATGATCCATGTGCTGAGAAGAATGTGTATTCTGCAGCCACTGGATGAAATGTTCTGTAAATTTCTGTTAGTTCACTTTGGTCTATAGTGGAGATTATTTCTAATGTTGCTTTGTTGATTTTCTTTCTGGAAGAGCTGTCCAATGCTGAAAGTCGGGTGTTTGATGTCTCCAGCTATTATTGTATTGGGGCATCTGTCTCTCTTTAGCTCTAATAATATTTGTTTTATATATCTGGGTATTCCAGTGTTGGGTGCATTTACATTAAAAATTGTCATATTTTCTGACTGTATTGACACTTTCATCATTATAGAGTGTCTTTCTTTGTTCCTTCTTATAGAATTTTTTTCTTGAAATTTATTTTGTCTGATATTAGTGTAGCTACTCTTCCTCTTTTTTTGTTTCCATTGGTATGGAATATATTTTTATATCTTTTTGTTTTCGATCCATGTGCACCTTTGTAGGGGAAGTGTGTTTCTTGCAGGCAACAGATAATTGGGTATTTTTTAAATCCATTCAGCCAGTCTATGTGTTTTCACTTGAGCATTTAGTTCATTTCTGGTCAGTGTTATTGTTGATTGTAAAGATTTACTCCTGCCATTTTATTATTTGTTTTCTGGCTGATTTGTGTTTCCTCTTTCTTCTTTCCTTCCTTCCTGTCTTTCTTTTATTAAAGGTGATTTTCTTTGATTGTATGATTTAATTTCTTGCTTTTTTGTGTATCTATTGTATGCTTTTTGATTTGAGGTTACCATGAGGCTTACAACCTTACAAGAGGTTACTATCTTATAACCCATTATTTTTAGTTAGAAACTTTACACTGTTTGAATAAAAAACCTAACAAGCAAGCAAAAAGAAAATTATTAAAAACCATACATATTAACTTCATTCCTTTTTTTTAACTTTTTGTTGTTTCTACTTATATCTTATTGTACTGTCTATGTCTTGAAAAGTTGTAATTATTGTTTATTTTTCCTTTTTTGAGACAGAGTCTCACTCTGTCACCCAGGCTGGAGTGCAGTGGCAAAATCATGGCTCACTGCAATCTCTGCCTCCTGGGCTCAAGCAATCCTCCCACCTCAGCCTCCTGAGTAGCTGGGACTACAGGCATGTGCCACTGTGCACAGAATATTATTATTATTATTATTATTATTATTATTATTATTATTGTTATTGTACTGATGGGGTTTTGCTACACTGCCCAGGCTGGTCTCGAACTCCTAAGCTCAAAAGATCCACCAGCCTTGGCCTCCCAAATTGCTGGGATTACAAGCGTGAGCCATTGTGCCCAGCCAAATGTTGTAATTATTGTTTTTGACTGGTTCATCATTTAGTCTTTCTACTTTTTTTATATATATATACTTTAAGTTTTAGGGTACACGTGCACAACGTGCAGGTTTGTTACATACGTATACATGTGCCATGTTCGTTTGCTGCTCCCATTAACTCGTCATTTACATTAGTTATATCTCCTAACGCTATCCCTCCCCCCTCTCCCCACCCCACGACAGGCCCTGATGTGTGATGTTCCCCTTCCTGTGTCCAAGTGTTCTCATTGTTCAATTCCCGCCTATGAGTGAGAATATGCGGTGTTTGGTTTTTTGTCCCTGCGATAGTTTGCTGAGAATGATGGTTTCCAGCTTCATCCATGTCCCTACAAAGGACATGAACTCATCCTTTTTTATGGCTGCATAGTATTCCATGGTGTATATGTGCCACATTTTCTTAATCCAGTCTATCATTGATGGACATTTAAGGTAAGAGTAGTTTACACACCACAGTCACAGTGCTACAATTTTTTTTCCTGTGTACTCATTATTACCAGTTTACTTTGTATTTCAGATGATTTCTCATGGCTTATTAATGTTCTTTTATTTCTGACTGAAGTCCTCCTTTTAGCATTTCTTGTGGGACAGGTCTGGTGTTAATGAAATCTCTCAGCTTTTGTTTGTCTGGGAAAGTCTTTATTTCTCTTTTATGTTTCAAGGATATTTTTGCTGAATATACTATTCTAGAGTAAAAGTTTTCTTCTTCCAGCACTGCTGGACTGTAAGGTTTCCACCAAAAAGTCTGCTGCCCGAGAGTCTCTCTTTCTCTACCTATTCTTGAAAGCCAATAACTGTGTTAAGATTTTCCCCTTTGATGCTATTTTCTAGATCCTGTAGGTGTACTTGTTTTTTATTGTTTTTTATTTTGTCTCCTCTGGCTGTGTGTTTTCAAATAGAATATTTTCAAATAGCTCTACCTATTTGTCTCTACCTACCCCCAGCCCCTGGAAGCCACTGATGTTTTTACTGTATCCATAGTTTTGCCTTTTCCATAATGTCCCATAGTTGGAATCATACGGTATGTAGCCTTTTCAGACTAGCTTATTTCACTTAATAGTAAGGATTTAAGTTTCCTCTATGTATTTTCATGGCTTAATAGCTCACTTCTTTTCAGTATCTAATAATATTTCATTTTTGGATGTACCACAGTTAATCTATTCATTCATGTACTGAAGGACATCTTATTTGCTTCCAAGTGTAGGCAATTGTGAATAAAGCTGCTATAAACATCCATGTGCTTGTTTCTGTAGACATAAGTTTTTAACTCCTTTGGAGAAACACCAAGCAGCATGATTGCTGGGTAATATGGTATGAGTATGCTTCATTTTGTAAGAAACCACCAAACTGACTTCCAAAGTGGCTGGGCCATTTTGCATTTCCACCAGCAATGAATGATGTTCCTGTTGCTATACATTCTCACCAGCATTTGCTGTTGTCAGTGTTCTGGATTTTGGTTATTCTAATAGTTGTGTAGTGGTATCTCATTGTTGTTTTCATTTACATTTCCATCATGACATACGAAGCTGAGCATCTTTTCAAATGTATATTTGCCAGCTGTATAACTTCTTTAATGAGGTAGGTGTTGCTTAAGATCTTTGGCCCATTTTTATTTGGTTGTTTGTTTTCTTATTGTTGAGTTTTAAGTATTTGTATATTTTCTTATTGTTGAGTTTTAAGTATTCGTATATTTTGTATATTTTGTTATTTGTATATTTTGTAAAACTGTCCCTTATCGGATATGTCTTTTGTAAACATTTTCTCCCAGTCTCTGGCTTCTCTTTTTATTCTCTTGACAGTGTCTTCTGCAGAGCTGAACTTTTAAATTTTATTTGGTAACAGATTTATTAAAGTATAATTCATATATTATACAATTTATTCCTTTAAAGGGTACAATCTAATAGTTTTTATCTGCACTATATTCAGTTATGTAATCATCACCACAACCAATTTTAGGACATTCTCACGACCCCATAAATAAACCCCATACCCTTTAGTTCTCACCTCCCAACCCCTCTATTCTTCCCAAACCCTCACCACCAGCCTCTAGCAACTACCAATCTACTCTCTATCTAAATAAATTTTCATATTCTCTGTAAGAAATTTGTTAATTTTAATGATGTTAAGGTTACGGATTATTTCTTTTATGGACTGTGGTTTTGGTGTTTTATCTAAAATGTCATTGTTAAACTCTGAGTCACCTAGATTTTCTCCTATGGTATCTTCTAGGAGTTTTATAGTTTTGCATTTTAAATTTAGGTCAGTGATCCATTTTGAGTTAATTATTGTAACGGGTGTAAAATCTCATGTCTAGACTCATTTTTTTTTACATGCAGGTATCCAGTTATTCCAGCACCATTTGTTAAAAGAACTACCTTATTAGCTCAATTGCCTTCATTATTAAAGGTCAGTTGACTGTATTAATGTAGGTCTATTTCTAGGCTCTCTAGTCTATTCCCTTGATCTATTTGTTCTTTCACCAATACCACACTGTCTTGATTTCTGTAGCTTTATAGTATGCCTTGAAATTGGGTAGTGTCAGTCCTCCAACTCTGTTCTTTTCCTTCAATATTGTTTTATTTATCTTAAATGGTATGTTTAAACATTTTTATTTCCCATGTCTGTTACTAATATGTTCAAATACCATTCTATTTACATATTGATCTTGCAGGCAGTTATCTTGCTCAAACAATTTATTATTTAAAATAGTTTATTAGATTTTCTTTTGTATTTTCTACATACATGTGTATTATTTACAATTGGTTACATTTAAATTTATTCCCTTCCAAAAATTATAACTTTATTTTATTTTTCTTCTTTTATATTGCCTAGAATATCTAGCACTATGTTGAGTAGAAGAGGTAATAGCAGGTATTCATGTTTCATTCCCATTGTCACAGGAAGAAGTTTAATATTTCACCACTAAGTATACTGTTTGCTTTAGCTTTTTATATACATCTTTTATCAGATTAAAGAGGCTCTTTTTATTTCTAGTTTGCTAATTTTCAATCATGAAGGGAAGCTGAATTTATCACATTACTTTTCTTCATCTATTGAGATGATCATGTGATTTTTCTTCTTTCTTAAGTTAATGAGGCACATTACATTGATTGCTTTTCAAGTGTTGAACCAACCCTGAATTCTTAGTGTTGGGAAAGGCAATCTTGTGTATGCAGTCTTTTGACCCCCACATGGCCATTTAAAATAGGCATTGGGACTAAAATATTTCCTTAGCAAGAGATAAGCAGCCTACACACCCTGTTCCAGGCTAGAAATATTTTTCTGTTTCAGACTTACTAAGTGTTCTTTTGTTTTACTAAGTGTATGCATCCATGGCTCTCAGACATGTCCTAGCTTTCTGTCTTTCAGACTGGGTTGGTGTGGGTGTGGATAAGGGTCCTTTTTCTAAGGCACAAGAAGGGTGTGCTTATCCAGTTGCTCTGTGTTTGTTGCTAGGGGGTACCGTCTAGCCATGGAGGGTACCAACACACACTATTGAAGCTGATTGTGCTCTGTTTTTTTTCTATATAAGTAAAGTGTTGTTTCATCCAGGGCTTGACTGCATTATGTTCTCCTTCATGACTCTGATAAAGCGATGCAATGGGCATATGTGATTAGAGTCAATTCCTGGGATTAGCAAGTGATGCCCAGTGTTCTGCTTAACAATTAGAATAACCCAACTTGGTCATAAAGTACTATCCTTTTTATATACTACTGGATTTGGTTTGATACTACTTAGTTTAGTAACTTTGCTTCTATTTTTCAAGAGATGAGATTGGCCTGTGTATTTCTTTTCTTGAAATGTACTCATCAAGCTTTGGAATGAACACTAAGCTGCCCTTGAAATGATTGAGAAATATCCTTTTTCTTCTATTATATTGAAGAATATGGGTAAAATTGGCATTATTTATTCTTTAAATGTTTGGTAAATTTTGCCAATGAAACAACCTGGGCCTATAGTTTACTTTGTGGGAAGGTTTTTATTTATATATACAATTTTAAATTTTTCTTATGTCTTTTAGTTCTGTACATATTTTAAACTCACAAGACATTTGTTATTATTGTTTTACACATTGCTCATTCAGATTTACTCAGATATTTGCCATTTCTGTTGTTCTTCACTTCTTGCTGCATCTCTTAGCTATAATCTTTTTTATTTTACCCGAAATACATTCTTTAGTATTTCAATTAGTGTAAAACTTTGGTGAATAATTCTCTTTTGTTTATATGAAAGTGTCTTTATTTCACATTAGTTTGTAAGGGATATTTTTGTTGGCTTTAGATTTCTATGCTGACAGTTATTATTTTAGCACAGTTATATTCTATGCTGACAGTTATATTCTTTTAGAACATTGAAGCCATGTTTTCATTGTCTTCTGCCTCTCATTTGTTCTGATGTACAGTCAGCAATAATTTTTTTTTTTGCTACTCCTTTGATGGTAATACCTCTTTTTAATTTTTGTGTGCTTTTCTAGTCTTTAGTTTTCAGTCACATCTATTTTTTTAGGTAAGATTATTTTCAATCGAGTGCTAGACTTTGAGATGAAAATGTGGTACTAACAATGAGGCTCCAGATGATGCTATCTTTTTTCAAAGACATATAACTTTTGCTTTTGGAGCCTATCCAAGTCACCTTAAAGGTTCCTTTGGAGTCCATTCAAGTGTTGTTTTTCTTGTTTCTGGATTATAGCTGTTCGGAGAAATGATGCTATGTGACTTCCAAGATAAGGTCATAAAAGATGATCTAGTTTCTGCCTTGTTCATTGGGCTGTAAGCTGCAGTATGAGAAGATCAACTCTCTGAAGCTGCCATGCCATGAGAAAGTCATGTGGTGAAGCCATATTCAGGCACTCTAGTCAACATTTACATCTGAGCTTAATGTTTGAATCATTTCAACAAAGGCACCAGAAACACAAATAAAGAAACCTCCAAATGGTTTTAGCCTGCAGCCATCAAGTGACTCCCAGCCTTCAAGGCTTTCCAGCTGACGTCCTAATTACAGTAGAGAAGAGACAAGTAGTCACCTCTGTGCCCTGGCTGAATTCTTGACCTGCAGAATCTGTGAGTATAATAAAATGGTTGCTTCATGCCACTAAGCTTTAGGGTTGTTTGTTACACAACAATGGTGAAAGGAATGAGTGTTCTGGAGGTGTCAAAGGAAATAAGGAAATGAAAATGAATAAAAAGTATAAGATTGGAAGAAAAAATAGAGCTGCCATTTTTTATGGTTGATGTTATTGTGTAAATAGAAAATGTAAAAGAATATACAGATAAACTATTAATATTCACATATGAGTTTAGAAAATTACTTGATACAAGGTCAACATACTATAATCAATTGTATTTGTATATTGCGGTTATAAACATTCTACCTTTTTAAAAGGAAATATAAAGGGCAATGAATAGTCAGGACACTTCATGAAGAAGACCAAAGTAGGAGAATTTGCCATATTACATTTCAAGATATTTAAATTTATAATAAGTAATATAGTGTGGTAATGGCACAAGGGTAGACAAATAGACAAATGAAACAGAATACAGACACCAGAAACAGACTCACGCATGTATAATCATTTGATTTTTGACAAAGATGGTATTGCAAAATAGTGGGAAAAGGGTGTAGTTTCAATTATTGGTGCTAGAATAATTGGATAGCTATTTGAAAAAAATTAAACTTGACATATATCTCAAACCTTACACACAAATCAATTCCAGGTGGAATGTAGATCTAAATGTAAAAAGCACCACAATAAAGCTTTTATAAATAAATGTAAGATAACATTTTCACGTTCTCAGGGTCTGGAAAGATTTCTTTAAAAATTCACAGAAAAGCATTAACCATAAAGAAAAATATTTTATATATGACTAATTAAAAATGTTTAAAAAAAGGCTAGCCTCAGGATAAAAGTTACTTGCAACACATAGGGACAAAATGTTGCTATTAGGAATAGAGACAAAAAAATATAGAAAAATAGAAAAAGTTCTTAACAGATATTCCACAAAAGAAAATATATAAATGGCAATAAATATATGAAAAGATGCACAACTTCTTAGTAATCAGTGAAATGTAAATTAAAACCACTGTGAAATACTATTCCTCAGAAAATAAAAGGGCTAAAAGAGAAACAAAGTGTCCAGAATGAGGACCTTACACTACTTTATACAATGCTAGTCATACCATTCTTGGATTATGACATTCAATTCTGGGACGACCTTTTGTAGAAGAGAGAAACTGACAAACTGAAACATATTTAGTGACACCTCTAGAGATCACAGCTTATGAAGAATGGCTAGAGAAACAGGAAATACTAAGTTGGAGAAGAGAAGGCTTCATATTACAAGGATAAAGATGAGTTTATAATGGGTAATTATTAGAATCAAAGAAACATGAAAGGAAACAGTTCTCAGCTTAATCTCAGAAAATAATGTTCTAATGTTTTAAGCTGACTAAAAGCAGAATGGAAATGCCTCTGGAATTTTCAGCTCACTGTAACTGGAGGTGTTCATAAGTAATTTCTGGACAACCACTCTATGGAGTTATTACTGGTAGGATGTGGGGGGAAGATAGAGAGCGTATTAGTCAGGGTTTTCTAGAGGGACAGAACTAATAAGATAGGTGTATATATAAAGGGGAATTTATTAAGAAGCATTGACTCACACGATCACAAGATGAAGTCCCACATTAGGCTGTCTGCAAGCTGAGGAGCAAGAAAGCCAGTCCAAGTTCCAAAACCTCAAAAATAGGGAAGCCGACAGTGCAGCCTTCAGTCTGTGGTCGAAGGTCCAAGAGTCCCAAAGCTGAAGAACTTGTATTCCAATGTTCAAGGGCAGGAAGCATCTAGTACGGGAGAAAGATGTGGGCTGGGAGACTAAGCCAGTCTAGTCCTTCCATGTTCCTTTGCCTGCTTTTATGCTAGCAGTGCTGGAAGCTGATTAGATGGTACCCAGCCAGACTGAGGGTGGGTAAGCATCTCCCAGTCCACTGACTCATATGTTAATCTCCTTTGGCAACACCCTCACAGACACACCCAGGAACAATACTTTGCATCCTCAATCCATTCAAGTTGACACTCAGTATTAACCATCACAGAGGGTTAGAGTGACTTCTGAGGTTTTAAGGGGTTTAAAATTCCACCCTATCCCTATCCTGTCTCTTTCCAATGATAACCAAATTTATTCGCTCCTCCTCTGGAGTCAGTGATACCCAACGGAAGAGTGGGGCAGTAACCCTTACTCAAACTATCAGAAGGTTTTGGAAATAGGGGATGCTCCTGAGTAGAGCCTTATTTTTCCTTGAGACCATTTACTGTTACTGCTCAGGGACAACGCATGAAATGACATTCTATCCCTCTGCTGGAATTCTGTAAAGAGCTAATAAAAATTACATCTCTTAAGTCCGGCGCTTCAAAGCCTTCCACATTGTTTTTCTATAGCTGAGTGGCGCCCTCTAGTGGCTCTAATCATGAACGTACCATCTGGGATGAGATCAGACCTCTGAACACAATACTTCAGGACTCCCTCTGGTAAGGAGTCAATGTTGCTTCCTGCTGATGCACATCACTACATAGCAGGTGACTGAGACAGGATAAGAATTCTTAAGCATAACACTCTGTTACTTAACCTACCCTATCTCCTCTGCAGATACTCCCCTTCTGCTGGCACTTGAAGAGAACAACAGTATATCCTCCAATGTGCGGTAATTTTGTATGTGATTTACATATTTATGTGTTAATGTGTTGTGTGTTAATAGAGAAAAAATTTTATATTACTGGTCTCCCATCTGCCAGAGGAGGCAGGAAGGTGGGCACTAGGGCATCATTGAGTGATGTTGTTGGTTCTTCTAAAAATCAAGGCTCTTTGAAGACCACCAAGACTCCAGACATTCTTACTTTGGAAACGGGAAGATTTGGTTACGCTTTGTGTCCCCATCCAAATTTCATCTTGAATTGTAATCCTCATAATCCCCACATGTCTAGAGAGAGACCAGGTGGGAGGTGACTGGATCATGGGGGTGGTTTCCCCCATGCTGGTCTAGTGATAGTGAATGAGTTCTCATGAGATCTCATGGGTTTTTTTTGTTTGTTTGTTTTTTGTTTTTGTTTTGTTTTGTTTTTTGAGGAGTTTAGCTCTGTCGCCAGGCTGGAGTTCAGTGGCGTGATCTCGGCTCACTGCAACCTCTCCCTGCAATTCTCCCACCTCAGCCTCCTGGGTAGCTGGGATTACAGGCGGCCACCACCACGCCTGGCTAATTTTTGTATTTTTAGTAGAGATGGGGTTTCACCTTGTTGGCCAAGATGGTCTCAATCTCCTGACCTCATGATCTGCCCATCTCAGCCTCCCAAAGTGCTGGGATTACAGGCGTGAGCCACTGTGCCCAGCTGATCTCATGGTTTTATAAGGAGCTCTTCCCCCGTTGCTCCTCCCTCTTCTGTCTCCTGCTGCCATGTGAGAAGGTCCAAGCTTGCTTCCCCTTTGCCTTCCACCATGATTGTAAGTCTCCTGAGGCCTCCCCAGCTATGCAGAACTGTGAGTCAATTAAACCTCTTTCCTTTATAAATTACCCAGTCTTTGGTATTTCTTTATAGCAGTGTGAAACAGACTAATACACACCACTTCACAGTGTATCAAACATAAAAATGCAAATGTACTTATAATCCCACTTAAATATAAATATTAAGCATATTCTAAAATTTGTATAACTTTGTTTTAAAATTTAAAAAATTTTCAGCCACAAGCAATTCATTAAAATATGCTCGACAGTGATTTCTCTGCAGAAACAGGAATTCTGCTTATGTGAGATAAAAATGTAAACTCCAAATTGTTTTCAAATGAAATGAAATTTTTACAAATAGTAAACTTAATATTCAATGAAGTTGACATGATAATGTTTTTCAGACAGTTCATTAAACATTTCTACACCATAATTTTGTAGTGTTTTGTAGGTAAATAATATTTTAACTTTCTCAAAAGTTTAAAAGTAGGTAAAATTTCTGCTTCTGGAAAAGGTGGGGATAGGTGATCTGGAACTCTCTTGATAAAGGGAATTTAAAATATTGGAAGGTATTTTATAATACATGAAAAATATCAAAGACCTCAAGAGGAAAGTGAGGAATTATCAGGGCGAGAAAAGAGGGTGAATTACAACTCCAAAGAGCTCAGTGATGATAAAGAGTGCTTCTGCTGAGGGGGTATTTGCTGATCAAGAAAATTCAGCTACTTTTGGTGTGGCAAATGAAAATAACTCACCTGGAGACTCTTAGTTCTGAGTGAGGGGTGAGAGCATAGCAGTGTCCACTTGAGAAGGGAAAGGGATGTCATACTACGGTAGTATAAGACAAATTATGTTCATTTTGCAAAATGAAAAAAAAAAAACAGAAGAAAGAGTCTCCTGTTGCATAGGCCGAAAAGTGCAATAGCAGTAGCCCTGATGTTGGCAATGAGGAGGGTGACTAGATCATGCTGACTTACTTTTGCCTGATTATTTGTATAAAGATTTTGAGTTGTGTCTAGCAAAGGCAAGAGTTGGATAAGTGGAGAGGGCAGAAAAGGTTATGAGAATGTGGGGAGAAGGTGAAGAAAGAAACAGGAAGAGCAAAGGCATGAGAGTGATCATAAGCATGATGATTGCAGCAGGTAGTCAACAATGATTACGTACATAGGGAAGTTAGTTTGGGGGAGCACTAAGTAAGATTGTATGAATAGTGTGGGCCTAGATTATGGTGAAAACTGTTTAGCAACATAATTTAGGTTTAGTTCGATAGTCAATGGAGAGCTAATTTAAGTATTTCTGCCTACGTTGTCTTCAGTAATATAAGAAAGTGGTGTTTTAGGATGAAAAAATTGCTAACTTTTTTTTTAGTACTTTCACTCTTCCAGGCAGTGAGTTAACAGTAATAGTTAAGAAGGTGGCCTCTGGAGGCTAGCAGCATCCTGATACCAAAGCCTGGCAGAGACACAACAACAAAAAAGGAGAATTTTAGGCCAATATCTCTGATGAACATCGATGTGAAAATCCTCAGTAAAATACTGGCAAACAGAATCTAGCAGTACATCAAAAAGCTTATCCACCACGATCAAGTTGGCTTCATCCCTGGGATGCAAGGCTAGTTCAATATATGCAAATCAATTAATGTAATCCATCACATAAACAGAACTAATGACAAAAACCACACGATTATCTCAATAGATGCAGAAAAGGCCTTCGAAAAAATTTAACAGCCCTTCATGCTAAAAACTCTCAATAAACTAGGTATTGATGGAACATATCTCAAAATAATGAGAGCTATTTATGACAAACCCACAGCCAATATAATACTGAATGGACAAAAACTGGAAGCATTCCCTTTGAAAACTGGCACAAGACAAGGATGCCCTCTCTCACCAATCCTATTTAACATAGTGTTGGAAGTTCTGGCTAGGGCAATCAGGCAAGAGAAAGAAAGAATGGGTATTCAATTAGGAAAAGAGGAAGTCAAATTGTCCCTGTTTGCACATGACATGATTGTATACTTAGAAAATCCCATTGTTTCAGCCCAAAATCTCCTTAAGCTGATAAGCAACTTCAGCAAAGTCTCAGGGTACAAAATCAATGTGCAAAGATCACAAGCATTCCTATACACCAATAACAGACAAACAGAGAGCCAAATCATGAGTGAACTCCCATTCACAATTGCTACAAATAGAATAAAATACCCAGGAATCCAACTTACAAGGGATGTGAAGGACCTCTTCAAGGAGAACTACAAACCACTGCTCAATGAAATAAAAGAGGACACAAACAAATGGAAGAACATTCCGTGCTCATGGATAGGAAGAATCAATATCGTGAAAATGGCCATACTGTCCAAAGTAACTTATAGATTCAATGCTATCCCCATCAAGCTACCAATGACTTTCTTCACAGAATTGGAAAAAACTACTTTAAAGTTCATATGGAACCAAAAAAGAGCCCACATGGCCAAGACAATCCTAAGCAAAAAGAACAAAGCTGGAGGCATCATGCTACCTGACTTCAAACTATACTACAAGGCTACAGTAACCAAAACAGCATGGTAGTGGTACCAAAACAGATATATAGACCAATGGAACAGAACAGAGGTCTCAGAAATAACACCACACATCACAACCATCTGACCTTTGACAAACCTGACAAAAACAAGCAATGGGGAAAGGATTCCCTATTTAATAAACGGTGCTGGGAAAACTGGCTAGCCATATGTAGAAAGCTGAAACTGGATCCTTTCCTTACACCGTATACAAAAATTGACTCAAGATGGATTAAAGATTTAAATGTAAGACCTAACACCATAAAAACCCTAGAAGAAGACCTAGGCAATGCCATTCAGGACATAGGCATGGGCAAAGATTCATGACTAAAACACTGAAAGCAATGGCAACAAAAGCCAAAATAGACAAATGGGATCTAGTTAAACTAAAGAGCTTCTGCACAGCAAAAGAAACTATCATCAGAGTGAACAGGCAACCTACAGAATGGGAGAAAATTTTTGCAATCTACTCATCTGACAAAGGGCTAATATCCAGAATCTACGAAGAACTTAAACAAATTTACAAGAAAAAAACAACCCCATCAAAATGTGGGCAAAGGATATGAACAGACATTTCTCAAAAGAAGACATTTATGCAGCCAACAGACATATGCAAAAATGCTCATCATCACTGGTCATGAGAGAAATGCAAATCAAAACCACAATGAAATACCATCTCATGCTAGTTAGAATGGCAATCATACAACAGATGCTGGAGAGGGTTTGGAGAAATAGGAATGCTTTTATACTGTTGGTGGGAGTGTAAATTAGTTCAACCATTGTGGAAGACAGTGTGGCGATCCCCCAAGGATCTAGACTAGAAATGTCATTTGACCCAGCAATCTCATTACTGAGCATATACCCAAAGGATTATAAATCTTTCTATAATAAAGACACATGCACATGTATGTTTATTGCAGCACTATTCATAATAGCAAAGACTTGGAACCAACTCAAATGTCCCAGTGATAGACTGGATTAAGAAAATGTGGCACATGTACACCATGGAATACTATGCAGCCATAGAAAAGGATGAGTTCATGTCCTTTGCAGGGACATGGATGAAGCTGGAAACCATCATTCTAAGCAAACTATCACAAGGACAGAAAACCAAACACCACATGTTCTCACTCATATGTGGGAGTTGAACAATGAGAACACATGGACACAGGACAGGGAACATCACACCCCGGGGCCAGTCGGGGGGTGGGGGGCTGGAGGAGTGATAGCATTAGGTGAAATACCTAATGTAAACAACGAGTTGATGGGTGCAGCAAACCAACATGGCACATGTATACCTATGTAACAAACCTGCACGTTGTGCACATGTACCCTAGAATTTAAAGTATAATTAAAAAAAAATAAGAAGGTGGCCTCTGGAGTTCCTAACTCTGGAATGTACTAACCATATGATTTTAGGAAAACTATTTTTCTGAGTTTCAGTTTCTTCATCTGTAAAATTAATGTAATAGTACCCACCTCTTGAGGTTGTTTTAAGGACAACATGTAAAGAGATTAATTTGGAATTAGTATTTAAGACAGATTGGAGAAGGGAAAACCTGTGGGTAGGGAACAGTTAACAAAGCTATTGTAAGCACTGAGCCTAGGCAAAGACAGTAAACCACTAGACTGGAGACAGTGGAAAAACAGCAAAGGAAAAGAAGTAGGACAAGCGACTGACTCCTCTCCACTCTCATTCATCTTGCAAATTCCTTTTTTTCTGTTCATTTAACATAATCTGGGAACCTAAAACTACACTTTGAAGTATATGGTCTGTCTCTGGACATTATTAACTGTTTGCTCATTTCCTTAGAGCTACAAATAACCATCTGATCTCTCTCTTCACCATTTCAACATCTGCAATATGTTCTCCCAAATCCCTTACTTCAGTCAGTTAAAAAGCAAAACAAAACAAAAATCATCCATCTTTTTACACAATATTTTCAATCTTTTCTTTGTAATTTATTCCTTCATTCTTAAACTTGCCAATCAGGCCTCCTGCAAATTCCCACGGAAGCAGGGTTCCCTAATTTAACAAAACACAAAATTCAAAAAGAAAACCAATCCTGCCATTTCTGGGCTTAAGGAAACCTGAAACTTTCCTTCAAAACTCTGCAGCATTGCTCAGTACTTTAGTGCCTAATTCCTACAACGAGCTAAGATCAGAAAAATCACTACGTAATAGGAATCTTAAAATGCGCAAGGCTTTGAGAACATGGGTTTTCAACATACAGCTTGCTCTTTCAGGATCTGTCTTCTTATTTGCATATATTTCTGAGCAGGAAGTTATGCGCAGTACTTTTAGTCTCCGCGTGAAAAGGTCCTTCATGCTAATCTAATTCAATTCAGTTCTCCTTTTTCTTTCTTCTTCTCCTCGCCCTCTTCTCAGGGAAGGAATCGTCAAAAATCAATGTTTCAACAGATCTCGCGGTGCTATTCGAGATTCCCTATTAAAAAAAAATAGAATTGATGCAAACAGCCTGTTCCTTCCGGGGTTTTGGGCTGGAACTGCAGCGCTTAGAGAGCTCGGTGGAAGCTGCTAAAGGCGGAGGCGGGGCTCTGGCGAGTTCTCCTTCCACCTTCCCCCACCCTTCTCTGCCAACCGCTGTTTCAGCCCCTAGCTGGATTCCAGCCATTGCTGCAGCTGCTCCACAGCCCTTTTCAGGACCCAAACAACCGCAGCCGCTGTTCCCAGGATGGTGATCCGTGTATATATTGCATCTTCCTCTGGCTCTACAGCGGTAAGGAGAGTGGGGAGTCCACCTTTGTTGTTTTCCTACACACCAGTCCTCTGCTGCCCCAGAACCATTAAAATGCAGAAGTTCCTCTGGCAGCTTCTCCTTTGGAAGACTCATGCATCCCCGATCCCACCCTTCTTCTTCCCTTTTTTCCCTTTGTTGCATCGATTTCATTTTTTTTTTTTTCCACATAGAGTTCAGCTTTGTTTGCTTCGTGACGTTGGGGGGCACATTTCTGCTTTGAAGGAAAACGAAAGCTACCAAGTTTTGGGAGATGGGAGATGGTGCTATACGGTCTTTAGGGTTACGTGAAGTCAAGTAAAATCGCACACTGGTGAGTTTCAAGAGTGAGACATTTGATGAATACGCCCTAAGTACTGAGACAAGGAGGAGTGCACTTCTGTAAAGGATGGGGGTACACATGCTGTAACTGGTGGGGATTGAGTGGAGGCCTACCGAGGCATTGTAATTATTCTGGGTGAGTGAGACCCTGGTAATAGAGTTATTTTGAGAGTGTGTAGAAGAAAGTGGTTAACTTGAGCTTGAAGGCCTGTTAGAACTAGACAAATTGGGAGGGGAAGTTGGTAACAATGACGTAAATTTTTTTTTAACTTAATATGACACGAGATTCAGTTTTCCCCCCATATTGTCCCTTATTTTGACTGTTTCTATTCTTTCAAAATATTTTACTTTTAAATTTCTCTCACTGCTTCAAGTATATTGAGAACTGGATAGGGAGCTCAGTGGCTTCTTGTGTAGTGGCAGCCTGAGTTGCTGCTGCTTCAAATGATAGGACTTTCTCTTTCATGGATTCACTTACTCTTAATTTAGAATAACAAATTTTCAGCAGCTGTCGGGAGAATATGATAAACTGGGGTGCAAGATGAGTGTATATCCATGATAAATGAAAGTGCTTCTGCTTTTTACAACTCAAGAGAAAGGCAGACAGTGGCAAGAACAGATGTGTGGGTTCAGATTGTAGGGTATAGGAACCCCTTCCCTCTTCTTGAGCTTTAGAGCAGCAGCTAATCCAGGTTGTTGTGTGTTTTTATTTTTTGGCTTGTTTATTTACACCTGAGAGGATGTGGAATGGAAGTGGAGGTTATGTTAAATCACAAGAACCTTGATATTTGAACTTTGTCTTCTCTGGCCACCATGTGTGGATATGTTTATGCAATTTTGGAATATCAGAAAATTTAATCTTACATTTTTTGAATAAGTTTAGGTTAAAAAAAAGAACACCTTTTATATTTCCTTTGGACCTAATTTTATGAGCCTCTTGCTTTATTATTTTCCATACATGTTGTCTAATATTTCAAAGTAAAATTTGAGTTGCTCAGAGTCTCAACTCAATCCAATAATTGTAAAGTCCAACTTAATGCCTTTAGTTAAACCCCTAATGAGACTGAACAGATCAGGCAGTTAGTTTTGCTTTGGGAGTCATACAGTTTCAATACTGTTATTTATTCTTTGCTTTCTCCTTCCTCTACCCCTTCTTTAAAAGTAGATTCAACAAGAAACTGCTTTCAGAATTTCTATTCAAGTAAGAATAACTGCACCTCTCTTTGTTAAGTCTTAAGTTTCCAAGAGCCTTAGAAATGGCTGCTGTCTTCTATTATTTCCTTTATTGGACTCCTTTTTTTTTTTATTTAGATTTCAACTTTTATTTTAGATTCAGAGGGTACATGTGCAGATTTGATGCATGGGTATACTGTGCAAGGTTTGGGGTACCATTGAACCTCTCACCCTGGTAGTGGGCGTAGTACCCAATAGGTAATTTTACAACCTTTGCCTTCCTCCCTCCCTCCTCTGTAGTCTTCAGTGTCTATTCTTCCCATCTTTGTTGGACTTTATTGTTGAAGACCATGCAAATGGCAGATGTTTATGGTATTTGTATTTTATTTCAATTTTTTGTCATGAGTAGTTAGAAATTTATTAGAAATTTATCTACTGTAGTAATTATAGTTCAATGAACCTGTTATCAAAATTCTACTTCATAATGCCAAAATAAATCCTTGCTTTATTATACTATTACAACACTTTTAAATAATACCAAAACAGTGTAAAGTGAGTACTTCTTTGTAACATGAATGGAGTGGTGATTATTTACTTCAGAAAGGCACTTTTCAGTTTGCTGTACTAAAGTTTTCCTTTAAGATTGATGCCCTGTTTGTTTTAATACATAAGTTAGAAAGTTTTGAGCAAATATCCTGATGGAGTCCTACAATTGCACATAGTGAGATACTTCAATAAGTGACTAAGTTTAGTTGTCTGAAGAACAGTTAAAAGCTTCTTTGCTTTGGATTGGTGGTAGCTGACTGTTTCTTAATCTTCCTACTGGTTGTCATTAAAAAAAAAAACAACAGATGTTATACTGGTTATACTGGGCAGAGTGGGGGATCTGGATCTGTGATAATTGGCAAGACAATGTTAACTTATTATGGTGGCGGGCGCCTGCAGTCCCAGCCACTCGGGAGGCTGAGGCAGGAGAATGGCGTGAACCCAAGAGGCGGAGCTTGCGGTGAGCAGAGATCGCACCACTGCAATCCAGCCTGGGCAACAGAGCGAGACTTTCTCTCAAAAACAAAACAAAACAAAAAAAGTGGCCTAATAGTGAAGAGTAGCACTTGCTTCTTGAAAGTTTAGAAATGAAAACAAGTATGTTGGTCTTTGCAATGGATTTCATTTTTTATTTTTATTGATATATCATAATTGTGCATATTTATGGGGGACATATGATCTTTTGATACATGCACACAATGTGTGATGATCAAATTAGGGTAATTAGGATATCCGTTACCGCAAACATTTATCATTTATTTGTGGTGGGAACATTCCAAACATTCTAGCTGTTTTTTCTAGCTATACAGTAAATTATATTGGTAACTATAGCCACCCTATTGTGCAATTGAACAGTGGATCTTATTCCTTCTATCTAACTGTATTTGTGTACTCATTAACCAACCTCTCTTAATCCTTCTTTCCCCCTACCCTTCTCAGCCTCTGGTAACCACCATCCATTCTACCCAATATCTTCATGGGATCGACTTTTTTAGCTCCCACATGGGTGAGAACGTGTGGTATGTCTTTTGTCTTTCTGTGTTATGTCTTAGTTCACTTAAAATAATGTCCTCCAGGCTCATCCATGTTGTCACAAATAACAGAATATCATTTTTATGGCTGAATAATATTTTATTTTGTGTGTGTATATATATGTGTGTATATATAAGTGTGTGTATATATATGTGTGTGTGTGTGTGTGTATATATATATATATATATATATATATCACATTTCCTTTATTCATTCACCGTTGATGGACACTTAGCCACATATCATAGTTATTTTGAATAGTTCTTTAATAAACATGGGAGTGCAGATATTTCTTTGATATACTGATATCCTTTCTTTTGGATATATACCCAAAAGTGAGATTGCTAAATCATGTGATAGTTCTATTTTTGTTTTTTGAGGAACCTCTATGCTGTTTTCCATGGCAGCTCTAGATCATGTGGTAGTTCTATTTTTGTTTTTTTGAGAAATCTCTGTGCTGTTTTCCATAGCAGCTGTACTAATTTACATTCCCAGCAAAAGTGTACTAGTATTCCGCTTTCTCAGTGCCCTTACCAGCATTTGTTATCTTTTTGGTAATAGCCATTTTAATTGGAGTGAGATGTTATCTCATTATAGTTTTGATTTGCATTTTCCTGATGGTTAGTGATGCGGAACATTTTTTCTTATACCTGTTTGCGATTTGTATGTCTTCTTTTGTGAAATGTTTATTGAAATCATTTGCCATTTAAAAAAATTGGATTATTTGTTTTTTTGTGGGTTTCTTTTTTGCTACTGACTTCCTTATATATTCCACATATTAATCTCTTGTCAGATGGATAGTTGGAAAATATTTCCTCCCATTTTTAGGTTTCTCCTTACTCTATTGATTGTTTCCTTTGCTGTGCAGAAGCTTTTTAGCTTAATATAGTTCCATTTGTCTATTTTTACTTTCATTGCCTGTTTTTGAGGTTTTACCCAAAAAATCTTTGCCCAGACCAATGTAATGGACTTCTTGATGGTAACCATAATAATGATAGTCAGTAGAAGCCCCTAAGTATGTCAGATACTATCTCATTTTTAAAAATAATCCTTTGAATTAAGCACTATGATTATCTCTGTTTTTCAGAGAAGGAAATACAGTATACAGGTTCAAAGAGTAAATAACTTTCTCAAGGTTACACAGTTGGTAAGCCATAGAGCTTGAATCCAAGCAAGATGTTTGAATCCAAAGAATATGTACTTAACCACCAAGAAATGCATCCTCCCAGTGATTTATGGCAACTAGTAGGCATGAGGAAATAAATTTGAACACGAGTAAGAGGTAGGGGAGGAAGTAAGTCCTGTAAGTGGAAGAAGAGTTGCCTGGGCATGTGCATATAGGGGAATAGAGAAATGGGCAGCTAGTGTGTAGGAGGGATATTGTGTCTAAAAGGGAATGTCTGTAAGTAGGGTAAGTGACTGTTCACCCAAGGCCAAGAAGATAGAGAAGACCTACACAGTTGGAAAGCCTAAACTGGTCTGGTATAGGTCAAGGTATAAAATTCAGGCCTTAATACTGTTTAGTTTGATGGGAACCATTTAACAAGAATGCAGCTTCCAAGTAGTCTGTCTATATGAAGTGATTTCTGCCTGTTCAGAATTGTTTATACATGTCTTAACTCACTGTGACACAGGTATATGCCACGTTTTGTTTCTTGAGATTGTAATGCCTTGTAAATTTACATTTAATGGAAAATGAATAGTAATCTCAGAGCCTATATAAGTTAATAAATTGCAATAACTTCTTAACAAAAATCAACATTGGCCTAGGATGAGAATTGCTAGAGAGATGATAGCTTGGAGAATTTTAACTGGTTTGGGAGTTTTTTCCCTATACATATTTCCCCAAGACCCATAATGATCTCCATTTCATGGCATCTATGCATTCTATTTGTGCCTTGGTGTAGAAATTTTAAGATTGTGGGAAATAGATGATTTCTTAGGGTTTTAATTGTGAAGTAACTTTTAAAAATTGATGTATTTTATATAACTGATAAAACAGAAGCTAGTTGTAGCTTGGATTGTTCACAAATATACATAATTTTTCTCTATGGTTGTACTCTGCACAATTTATAACAACAGATAAAACAATGTTCTGGATTGTGTAATTAGTCACTAGTCACAGTATTTTCTTCATCTGGATAATATAGAAGAGCAAGACACAGTTCTTCATTATGTGGTTCTCAAATAATTGTACTTTAGGCGCAGAATGTTTTGCTGCTCTGTCTGTATTTATACATTAAACATTGATTTTGTGTATGCAAGGATTTTTGTCATATCTTCCAAAGTTTGTTTGAATGTTGTTTAAAGGTGTTCATAGAAGATGTTCACTTAGAAGACTAAAATTAGAAACTGTTCACCAAATGACTGGGACATACTTTTTGGAGGTCCCTAACAGTGGAAAATGGCAGCTTTCACATGGCAAATGTGGAGACTCAAGATCAGTGCTTTCAAATTGATGCTTAGTATTTGATGGCTGATTTCCTAAATTTCACAGAAACATTGGAAGAATTTGGCCCAAAAAGAGGCTGATCAGTGATCAGTGATGGTGATTCTTGGGCATTTAAAAAGATGCTTAAATGTTACATGGTTGTAGGGAAGAATATATTGTGAAAGTTTAGTAAAAGATTAATTATCTGGGCCGGGCACGGTGGCTCACATCTGTAATCCCAGCACTTTGGGAGGCCGAGCTAGGCGGATCACGAGGTCAGGAGTTCAAGACCAGCCTGGCTAACACGGTGAGACCCCGTCTCTACTAAAAATACAAAAACAAAAAAATAGCCGGGCGTGGTGGCGGGCACCTGTAGTCCCAGCTACTTGGGAGGCTGAGGCAGGAGAATGGCCTGAACCCGGAAGGCAGAGGTTGCAGTGAGCCGAGATCGTGCCACTGCACTCCAATCTGGGTGACAGAGCGAGACACCGTCTCAAAAAAAAAAATCATTATTTGGTAGAAGAGAAAGATAAAATGGACTTATTTCTAGCACAAAGACTAGTTACTTTGTTGAGGAAGGGTTTTGATCAATAAACCCTCCACCAGGGTTAGCCTAGGGAAAAAATAAATAAACCTCAAATGTCAATCAGATTGAATGTTCTCTGTAGCTAATCTTTAAAATCTTTTATGAAATATATATTGTGCAATTAACCAAGTATCATTTACAAAAACATTTCCTGCTTTAATGGAATTATCAAGGTTGAATTTTGTATTTCATTTCTTACTGATACAAGTAAACAGATTAAGAGAGAAGCTGCTGGTTAACTATCTGACCATCTGTTTGCTTTCAGATCTACTTTGCGGCCCACTAGGAGGCCTTTTAAACCCAGTCTTTAATTACTTTCTTCAATCCAGACCAAGGTTAAACAAAAGTACATTTAGAGAGACGAGGCGGTTCATTTATGATGACTGTTTTCATTAATATGAGAGACAAACCTGACCTTTTACACTTGGGCAGCAGAGAAGAATTTTAAGCAAGGAGATTTTTTTCTAGCCCAGGTCTTGCCTGTTGGTTTTATTAGGTTTGCTTGAAATCTTGCAGATTGCCAGAACATCAGGCAAAAAATTCAAATATAAGTTTAAAAATATCATAACAAATTCAAAGACTGTATATTTAAGTGTTCAATGATGCTAGGTTTTTTGTTGTTGTATTGCCCTTTCGTTAGCATAACTAAGTTTTTTTTTTTTTTTTTTTTTTTAAGACGGAGTCTCACTCTGTCACCCAGGCTGTGGTGTGATGGCATGATCTTGGCTCACTGCAATCTCTGCCTCCCAGGCTCAAGCGATCTTCCTGCTTCAACCTCTCAAGTAGCTGGGACCACAGACATGCACCACCAGGCCCAGATAACTTTTGTATTTTTGGTAGAGACAGGTTTTCACCACGTTGCCCAGGCTGGTCACAAACTCTTCAGCTAAAGTGATCCGCCCTCCTCGACCTTCCAAAGTGCTGGGATTACACGCGTGAGCCACCATGCTCAGCTGCTAAGATTTGACTTTAGTAATAGTAAAGACAACACTTATTTATGCATTGTATATGTCAGGCAAGGTGCCCAGGGCTTTACCTACATTATTTTACTTAATTTATCTTTACAATAATATTTTAACATAGTAATAACTACTATTAGATTCATTTTACCTAATTGGAGGGGGTATCTCTAAGATCCAGAAACATAGGTACATTGGTCAAGACTGAAGAGCTAGAAATGACAGGGCTGTGATCAGAACTCTGGTTGTTCGGACTTCAGAACCCACTCCTAAACACTGTGTTATTTACACATCCTCTGTTTATAGGTATTGAATAGAAATTGTCAATACTACATAAAAATCCTGTTATATGATTTTGAAATACAATTGCCATTCAAGAGGGGATGATGTCTAAGTAGGCAAATGTGTTCTCATTCATAACCCGTACTCGAGAGTGAGATGAGAGTTGGCACTGGTGGGCAGGCTGGGTGTAGGGAGGATAGTAGCACCATGTTCTTTTAAAATGTGGTTCTTTTTTTAAAATCAAATGAATTCATCGAGGGCACACTTAAAAATAATATTTGTCTGTACTTTCTTATGCTGGCCTGTGTTACATACTGAATTTTTATGACTGATTCTCTTGCATGTTATGTGGCTATAGACCAACATAATTAAAAGGTGGTTTCTATGATTCTGTAAATCTAAATTAACCAGGAAGGCAGTACTGCTATAACTTGTAAACTCTGGTTTTAGACTCTAGTCCTTGATTTCTGTCCCTTTGGCTTAGTCCTTTTTGGAAATGAGACCCTATCCTAGAGTTAGGGTCTAGCCAAGCCTTTCTGCTTGGGGGATTTCCAAAAATGAGTCAAGACAAATAAAATTTCACCTTTCAAACACCAGAGAATATTCATCTTAGGTAACATTTACTACATGAGAAAATTTTCTGTTTCACCATCACCTTTCAGCCAGTTGTTTCATTATAAGTGCAGCATGTTTTTCTGTTAAAATTATCTGTAAATATATATTTAATAGTAGTTGTATGATATTGGAGACCGTTCTCTTCAGTATGTTATATCAAATTTGATTTAGAAGGAAGACAAGCATATATAATTACTTAATTTATTAAACATATGATCAATCATCTTACTTTAATTTCTCATGCAAATTGTCAGCTTTAGTGGGTAATAATATTAAGAGCTATAATTCATTGAGTCAGGCACACCGGTAAGAACTTTACATGTATTGTTTCATTTTTCTGACAATTCAATGAAGCTAGTACTCTTATTATCTCTGTTTTTAAGAAGAGAGGCTCAGAGAACTAGCCAGGTCACAGAGCTAGTAAAGTACCCCCCAGGTTTGTCTGATTCCAGGGCCCATGATCTGAAGCCCTATGCTATTCTTCCCACTTGATGATATTCACTAATTACCCACTCTGAATGCAGCTCTGAAACTGATTTACAAGTCGTTGTAATACTTCTTTTCTGATGAACTTGAAAAACCATGAAAAATACTTCTTAATTAACTGGTCTATAGCAATACGTGGTCTATAGAAATACTAAGGATAATTCTGGTGGTCTGTTACATCAAGTGGAGAACTTGAGTTTATCAGAGGAGACAATCAAAGTTATAAGAGCTCAGCCTATACTATTAGTTAGAATGCAGAACATGTACCTTTATCTCAATTTAAGAAAATCATTTTATTGCAATCTAATGAAAAGTAGATAAGATGAATTGTTTTTTGAAGGGATTTTAAAGCTTTTTTAGCTGTAAGGGTGAGATATGTTTTATTGGCTATTGCCTGTGTGATTTGAGTAGGTCATAAAACTTTCTTTGCCTCTCATCATTCTCACAAGCTGAATATGAGTAACTTAAAATGAAGAGTATCATGAAAGAAAGCTTCTAGAAGTGTGTGATGGTTAATACTGAGTGTCAACTTGATTGGATTGAGGGATACAAAGTATTAATCCTGGGTACTGTCTGTGTGGGTGTTGCCAAAAGAGATTAACATTTGAGGCCGGGCGCGGTGGCTCACGCCTGTAATCTCAGCACTTTGTGGGGGCCGAGGCGGGCGGATCACGAGGTCAGGAGATCAAGACCATCCTGGCTAACAGGGTGAAACCCCGTCTCTACTGAAAATACAAAAAAAATTAGCCGGGCGTGGTGGCGGGCGCCTGTAGTCCCAGCTACTCGGGAGGCTGAGGCAGGAGAATGGTGTGAACCCGGGAGGCGGAGCTTGCAGTGATCCGAGATCGTGCCACTGCACTCCAGCCTGGGCTACAGAGCGAGACTCCGTCTCAAAAAAAAAAAAAGTCAGTGAGTTGGGGAAGGCAGATCCACCCTAAATCTGCTGGGCACAATCTAATCAGCTTCCAGCAAATATAAAGCAGGTAGAAAAACGTGAAAAAGAGAGACAGGCCTAGCCTCCCACTTTACATGTTTCTCCCGTGCTGGACGCTTCCTGCCTTTGAACGTCGGACTTCAAGTTCTTCAGTTTTGGGACTTGGACTGGCTCTCCTTGATCCTCAGCTTGCAGAAAGCCTATTGTGGAACCTTGTGATCATGTAAGTTAATACTTAATAAACTCCATATATATATATGTATATACACACATATATCCTACTACTTCTGCCCCTCTAAGAGAACCCTAATACAAAGTGTTGTTGGAAATTTATTACTAAAAATAATGAAATCTGATCTCAGACTTTCAGAAAAAACATAATTGGTCTTGTGATTCAGGTAAATAATTTTAACTTCTCAAAGGATTCAGTAGTTGGGGTGAAATATTTTCAGTGAATTTCTACTTGAAACAAGAGTAAAGGTAGACCTGGCACAATGGCTCATGTCTGTAATCCTAGTAACTTGGGAGGCCCAGCGGGGGACGATCATTTGAGGCTAGGCGTTTGAGACCAGCTTGGGGAACAAAGTGAGACCCTGTCTCTACAAAAAATAAAAAATAAAAAAAAAAGAATAAAGATGTTAAATTTAAACTTTCTAAACAATGTTGAGGGGACAATCAGGGTTGTTGGTGGTGATGAGACAATTTGCCAGGTAACAAGACAAACACCTGGTGGGTTTTAAAGTGAGCAAAATGGAAGTGTGACAAGATCCAAAGTAAGGACAATTTTATACTCGACTTTGAATTCATGCTTTGAATTCATTCTTTTTTTTTGAAAAAGAGGATGTTGAAAGGCAAGTAAAAAATATTGTGAAAAAAATGTGACTAAACATTTACAAATTGCCCATCAGATCAGATTAGGATTTTTTATTAGATCTTTAAGTTAAAGTTGAAGAATGAGTTTTGTTTAGTGTGTGTTTATATCCAATTAGAAATTGTGTGGCTATGATTAGGTGCTGTATGGGGAGCTTAATAGAGGAGTGCATATCTCACTTGGGATTTAATCTGACTCAACCCATGAGTTGAACTCGAGAAGTAAAGTACACATCCCAGGGGATCCTTATGCTGCCCAAATGCCAGGGACTGCTTGGGACAGGTCCCACCAGACACACAGCATGTGTGCACTTTCCAAAGTCAGTCACTCTAGGTTTCATGAAAACTCAAAGCATCTAATACGATCTTGTCAAAATTATGTCTACATGTCCAAGTGGATTTACTGTAAATCAATGTCTAATTACTTTTTGAAAATTATTCACTTACAGAGATTGAATTGACTTTTTTTCATTTCATAATGTGGTTGAGTAGGAAAGTCTTAGAATTGTACTTTTTCGTTGAAGTATAAAACTAGCGATAGAGTGCATAAACATTATATTGCTTAAAATATATGGAGAATGGCTCAAAAGGAGCTATTAGCACAAAAAATGAGATTCTGTCTTGTGCAACAGCTCATGTAAGAGAAGAGATTTTGGGGAAGAAAATGAAATTTGAAACCTTGGATTGTCAGAACATGGATTTCTCCAAAAGCAGTTATAAGAAAAAAATAGTTGACTATCTCCCAGTGATTGAGGTAATCATGACCGAATTCTACACCCACACCTCCACAAAGTACCACCACTTGATGTCATACACTTTCTTCAAATATTTGAAGTTGGAATGGTAGGCATTAATTTGTGTATGTTTTAGTAAAAATATATAGCAATTTTTATTTCATATGATTAATGGTGAGTCATTATGCTAGGTAAAAGCATATGATAAAAAGATAGATGGCATGTTGCACATAATAGCGTTATGCATTTTTCCTAAATATTTCCTTAAGCTTTAGCAATTGCCTCTTAGCAACTGTTTCAAGTTATATAAGGCAGATTTCTGTTCCTAATGAACAGATTTTGAGGCAAGGGGTATATTGTTACAGTTTTTTTTTTAACTTTCCTCCTCATTTATTAATGGACCCGTCAAAAGTTAAAAATACTTTGTAGAACTCTACTGTAGAATAGTACTATTTCAAAATTCAACAAAGTGATGAGTAGCAACTTATCATCTACCTCTTTCACTTCTTATTACACAGAATATAATTATAAACTGGTAAGTTTTTAAATAAATATTTTTTCACATATGAGTGGATGGCCTGTTGAAATTCAAGTGCAAAACAGGCCACCCAAGTGGAGATTTGCAGCTGCTAGATGGAAACGTGTGACTAGAGTTTGGGAAAGATGGTGGACGGAGAGTAGATATGGGAGTCATTTATGTATAGGTGCTACTTCAAACTATGGAAAAGAATGAACTCACTAGGAAAAAGGAATTATGGCATGAGATGAGAAGAGAGCTGAAAACAAAGACAGGACTTTGCTGAATGTTCACATTTCGGAGGAGGTGAAAGAAACAGGAACAGCAGGAAACACGTGGATTCATTAGGAAAGATCAGAGTAGCATCTTGTAATAGAAACCATGGTAGGGAAGAATTTTCAAGGACAATGAACATTGTTAGTTCCATACAGGAATTTTGAAAACTGATAAAAGGTCATTGAATTCAAAATAAGGAAATGATTAGTGACCTTGGAGAAAAGCGGTTTCAGTAGATTGGTGAAAACAACAGCCTGATTGGGAAAGGTTAAGAAATGGAGCAAATAATGAGGAAGAGATGAGTATATAGACTAATATTTGACTAGTTTGGTGAGAGGAAAGGAAAAAGAAGATTCCTGAAAATAGTTAAAATAAAATGATATTATTCCAGCGTTATTAAAAAAGAAGAAAATTAAGCGAACTGGAATTTTTCCTAGAAAAATCCTGTTTGTCTGTTTTCCCAGCCTAGATTTATCAGATCATTGTTGATTCTTTAATTTCACCATAGAATCAACTTTAAACTACCTCAGTGTCTAGTGGCTGAAATATTCAACAATTAATATTTGGAAATTGTGACAGAGACAGAACATGAATATTTGTGATAGGAAAGGATGAAAGCAAATAAATATTTTTATATTGTTCTACTTGAGAATGCCCAATGAATAATTTTATCAGACAAATGCATATTATTTCAAAAAGCATTTTATTACCCTCGTAAAAAATAAGCAGGAAAGTCAAAGTTCTCATAAAAAGTATGAAGAACAGCTGGACAATTTTTATTACCACCATTTATTTGCTGAAATTTAGTAAAGATCAGTTTGATTCTTTAGAACATATTGCTTTTTAAACTTTGACTTCTGGCTATGGGATGGATTATTTTAGTCATAAGAAAGTATAACTGATCTAATACTTTACACTTATTTTCCCTTCTCGCTAATGCCAACCTAGCTTCTAGGAGGCTGGAAAGAGTATACGGTTAGAAAATTGGTAGGCAGATCACTTCCTTTAAGATTTCTGGGCTGACTTAAGATCTGGTGAATACTATTCAAGAAAGAAGATAAAGAAAGGAAAATGGAATTAAATCAGAAGTTTGGGATTCCATATCAATGACATTATTCAATTCTAGTGGAGAGAGTTTATGGAGCTCCGGTTCCATAAACTCTCTCCCCTAGAATTTCATACTTCTACATTCAATACTTTTACATTGAACTAACTTGATCGTATGTGCACATACATGTACCATATAAACACTTGGCAGAGATGTTCAAGTGCAGAGCCTTGCACAGGGTGGACAATTTGAATAGATTATGTAGATAGGTCCTGCCGATTCTGAATCTATGATTTGTGCTTAGGAATTATCTTGCTTTCACCCTCAAATTCACTCATTCATTGAGAATATACTTGTTGCCAGCCACTGGACTAAACTCTGGACCCAGGCTCCGAAGGACGAGAAAAGGCCAGGAATAAAGATTTTCTCAGCCTCCTCCCTGAGCCAGAATGAAGGAGAAAGTATGGGGATGTCAATTTGAGGGACTAAGTTACATGGTCTGCAAATAAGAAAGGAGTCAAGGCAGAGGTACTTTAGGGACTCTCTGCCTGCCTGTTGATAAGCTGCCTCATAGAAATTAGCATTCTCCTGTCCCCCAACCAGTGTGCAAATATATTCTGCCTACCCTTTCCAGTCCCCCTGACAATGATCTTCTTATTGAATGACAGTTCTGAAAAGTGATAAGTTATTAGTTCAGTTGAACTGTTACCCAATTTTCTTGCCATTTCACTAGACAGAAGTGTGGAAAGTAGATCCTAAGCACAATTTGCACTTCCTTTTTATACCGGAACATTCCACAAAGACATTACTATTATACAGTTCTGATTAAAGCCAAATGTTGCAGTCATAATAAATTAAAGATTTGTGGCTTCATTGTCTGTTTCTAACATTTAGCCTGGGATTATGGAACAAAGCCCACTAAATTCCCTTTTTCATTATCTAAAAAATGCCTTTTAGACTTTTCTATAATTCCCTCACCTTGAGATCATCCTAGCTTTGATCTTTTGTGTAAACAATTATGTCTTATAAAAATCTGAATTGTATTCATTCCTTTATTTATAATCTCAACCACTTTCTGTTTGTCACTCTTCCTGCTCTCCTTGTTTTTTTTCCCTCTCTTTTCCAAGGGTTATAGGATTCCTGACAGTTTGGTTTGAAGTTTAGTTCAGTATTCTATATATCAATATGCATTATTTACTTTGTTTTTGCTTTAATTTTCAATTTTTAATTTTTGTGCGTACAGAGTAGGTACACATATTTATGAGGCACATGAGACACTCTGATACAGGCACATAATGCACAATAATCACATCAGGATAAATAGGGAATCCATGAACCCAAGCATCTATCTTTTCCTTGTGTTACAAATGATCCAGTTATACTCTTTCAGTTTTTAAAATGTATAATAAATTATTGTTGACCATAGTCACCCTGGTTGCACTGTCAAATAGTAGACCTTATTCATTGACTCTATCTATATTTTTGTACCCATTAACCATCCCCATCCTCCCTACCCTACCCATTATCCTTCCCAGTCTCTTATAATCATGGTTCTACTCTATCTCCATGAGTTCAATTGTTTTAATTTTTAGCTCCCACTAGTAAGTGAGAACATGCAAAGTTTGTCCTTCTGTGCCTGGCTCATTTCACTTAAAATAATGTCATCCAGTTATATTTAAGTTGTCGCAAATGAAAGGATCTCATTCTTTTTATAACTGAGTAATACTCCATTGTGTATATGTGCCACCTTTTCTTTATCCATTCATCTGTCAACGGACACATAAGTTGCTTCCAAATCTTGGCTATTGTGAATAGTGCTGCAATAAACACAGGAGTGCAGCTATCTCTTTGATATATCCATTTTCTTTTGGATATGTACCCAGCAGTAGGGTGGCTGGATCACATATATGTAAGCTCTATTTTTAGTTTCTTTGAGGAACCTCCCAACTGTTCTTTTTAGTGGTTGTACTAATTTACCATACCACCAAGAGTGTATGAGGGTTCCCGTTTCTCCACATCCTCGCCAGCATGTTATTGCCTGTCTTTGGATAAAAGCCATTTTATTTATATATATTTATTTGTATCTTCTCTCTTATTTTCTTAATCTCACTAATGGTCAATTAATTTTGTTTATATTTTCAAAAAACCAGCTTTTTGTTTCATTTATCTTTAATTTTTTGTTTCAATTTCATTTAGTTCTGCTCTGATCTTTGATTTTTTTTTTCTTCTGCTGGGTTTGGGTTTGGATTTTGTTTCTCTAGTTCCATTAGGTGTGAGCTTAGATGGTCTATTTGTGCTTTCAGACTTTTTGATGTAGGCCTTTAATGTTAGGAACTTTCCTTTTAGCACTGCTTTTGCTGTTTGATAGTTTGTATCACTATTATCATCCAGTTTAAAGAATTTTCTAAATTTCCATCTTGATTTTCACTGTTGACTCAAAGATCATTCAGGAGAAGACTATTTAATTTTCATGTATTTGTATAGTTTTGAGGGTTCCTTTTAGAGTGAATTTTCAATCTTATTCCACTGTGGTCTGAGAGAGAACTTGATAGAATTTTCATTTTCTTAAATTTATTGAGACTTGTTTTGTGGCCTATCATATGATCTATCTTGGAGAATGTTCTATGTGCTGATAAAAAATGTATATTCTGCAGTTGTTGGGTAGAATGTTCTGTAAATATCTGTTTAGTTCATTTGTTCTAGGGTACACTTTAAGTCAGTTGTTTTTTTGTTGACTTTCTGTCTTGATGACCTGTCTCGTGCTGTCAGTGAAGTATTGAATTTCCCCACTGTTATTGTTTTGCTGTGTGTCTCATTTCTTAGGTCTAGTGTAATTGTTTTATAAATTTGGGAGCTCCTGTGTTAAGTGCATATATATTTAGGATTGTGATATTTTCATGTTGGACTGATATATTTATCATTATATAATGCCCCTCTTTGTCTTTTTTCACTTTTGTTGCTTTAAAGTCTGTTTTGTCTGATATAAGAATAACTACTCCTGCTTGCTTTTGGTTTTCATTTGCATGGAATATCTTTTTCCACCCCTTTACCTTAAGTTCATATGAGTCCTTATGTGTTAGGTGAGTCTCTTGAAGACAGCAAATAGTTGGTGGTTGGATTTTTGTCCATCCTGCCATTCTGTATTTTTTAAGTGGAACATTTAGGCTACTTACATTCAGTGTTAGTGTTGAGAGATTTTTTTCATCATGCTAATTGTTGTGTGAGTACTTTTTTTAAAATTGTGTTATTGTTTTATAGGTCCTCTGAGGTTTATGCTTTAAGAAGGTTCTATTTTGGTGTATTTCAAAGTTATGTTTTAAGATTTAGAACTCCTTTTAGCATTTCTTACAGTGCTGGCTTGGTAGTGGGGAATTGTCTCCACATTTGTTTGTCTCAAAAAGACTTTATCTGTCCTTCATTTATGAAGCTTAGTTTCACTGGATACAAAATTCTTAGCTTATTTTTTTTTGTTTTTGTTTACTGAGGTTAAAGATAGTACCCCAATCTCTTCTGGCTTGTAGGGTCTCTGCTGAGAAGTCTGCTGTTAATCTGACAGGTTTTATACATCTATATCTATATCTATATATCTGTATGTATATATATATATATACAGATATATATGTGTATATATACACACATACAGATATGTATATATATCTGTATATATACACATACAGATATATAGATATAGATATATATACACATATATATCTGTATGTATATATAGATATAGATATAGATATAGATATAGATATATCCCAATTTGAAATGAAGAAGTCAATGTATCCATCTTTGCAGATGTTATGATGTTACATTTGGAAAAACCTAAGGACTTCACCAAAAAATCCCATTAGACCTAATAAACAAATTATGTACAGTTGCAGGATACGAAATCAACACACAAAAATCAGTAGCATTTCTAAATGCCAACAGTGAACAATCAGAGAAAGAAATCGAAAACTTATTTGAGGGAATAATTGAGGAAAACTTCCCTGGCCTTGCTAGAGATCTAGACATCCAACTACAAGAGGCTCAAAGAACAGCCAGGAAATTTGTCACAAAAAGATCATCACCTAGGCACATGGTCATCAGGTTACATAAAATCAAGACAAAGGAAAGAATCTTAAGAGCTGTGAGGCAAAAGCATCAGGTAACTATATATATATATTTACATATATATGTAGATTTATATATGTACATTTTTTCAGTCTTCTTGAGTTTCTTTCATCAATATTTCATAGTTTTCATTGTAGAGAGCTTTCACTTGTTTAAGTTAATCCCTGTGTAGTTTATTATGTTTGTGACTACTGTGAATGGGATTACTTTCTTGATTTCTTTCTCAGATTGTTCACTATTGGCATTTAGAAATGCTACTGATTTCTGTGTGTTGATTTTGTATCCTGCAACTGTACATAATTTATTTATTAGGTCTAATGGGATTTTTTGGTGAAGTCTTTAGGTTTTTCCAAATGTAACATCATATCATCTGCAAAGATGGATAAATTGACTTCTTTATTTCAAATTGGGATGCCCTTTATGTCTTTCTCTTGTCTGATTGCTCTAGCTAGGGCTTTTAGTAGTATGTTGAATAACAGTGGTAAAAGTGGACATCTTTGTCGTGTACCAGATTTAGAGGAAAGCCTTTCAGTTTTTTTCCCATTAAGTGTTATATTAGCTGTGATTCTCTCATATATGGCTTTTATTATGCTGAGGTATGTTTCAATCCCCAGTATTTTGACACTTGCTGTCATGAAGGTATGTTGAATTTTATCAAATGCTTTTTTAGCATCATCTGAAATTATCATATGGTTTTTGTCCTTCATTCCATTGATATGATGTATTACATTGATCGATTTGCATCTGTTGAACCATCTTTGCATCCCTGGGATAAATTCCACTTGGTCATGATGAATGATCTTTTTAATGTGTTCATGAATTCATTTTTTTAGTATTTTGTTGAGTAGTTTTGCATCAATGTTCATCAGGGATATTGGCCTATAGTTTTCTTTTTTTGGTGTGTCTTTGTCCAGTTTTGGTACCAGTGTACTATTGGCCTTGTATAATCAGTTTGGAAGTATTTCCTCCTTCTTTTCTGCTTCAGAATACTTTGACATAGGATTTGTATTAGTTCTTCTTTAAATGTTTGATAAAATTGAGCAGTGAAGCCCATCAGGTCCTGGCATTTCTTTGCTGGAAGACTCTGTTGCAGCTTTGTTCTCATTACTTGTTTTTTGTCTGCTCAGGTTTTGGATTTCTCCATGGTTCAATATTTGTAAGTTGTATCTGTCTAGGAATTTATCAATTTCTTCTGGGTTTTCCAATTAATTGGCATATAGTTGCTCATAGTAGCCTCTAATGATCTTTTCAATTTTTGTGGTATTGGTTGTAATATCACCTTTTTAATCACTGATTTTATTTAATTGGGCCTTCTCTCTGTTTTCTTATTCTGAGCTTAAGTTTGTCCATTCTTTACATCTTTTCAAAAAACCCACTTTTTGTTTCATTGATCTTTTTTAGTGTTTTTTTTTCATTTCAATTTAATTTATTTTTGATCTGCCCTTATTTATTTATTTTCTTCTAAGTTTGGGTATGATTTGATCTTGCTTTTCTAGTTCTTTGAGATGCACCTTTAAGTTGTTTATTTGAAGTTTTTCTAAAAACCTTTTAAGTCACCCTTATAGCTATAAACTTTTATTTTTTACTATATATTTCACTGTATCTTATAGGTTTTGGTATATCATATTTCTGTTTTTATTGGTTTAAGAGATTTTTCAATTTTCTTAATTTCTTCGTTGACCCACTGTTCACTCAGGAGCATATTGTCTTATTTTCATGTGTTTGGATAGCTTCCAAAATTCTTCTTGTTATTGGTTTCCAGTTCTATTCCATTATGTTCAGAAAATATATTTGTTATAATTTCATTTTTGAGGAATTTTTAAAGACTTGTTCTGTGTCCTAACATATGGTCTATTCTTGAGAATGATCTATGTGCTGAGGAGAAGAATGTGTATTCTGCAGGCATTGAATGATATGTTCTGTAAATATCTATTAGATCTATTTGTTCTACAGGGCAACTGAATTCTAATATTTCTTTGTTGATTGTCTGTTTGTATAATCTGTCCAATGCTGAATGACAGGTCTTGAAGTCTCCAGCAATTATTGTGTTAGGCTCTATTTATTTCTTTAGCTCTAATAATTTTTGCCTTATATATCTGGGTGCTCCAGCGGTTGTTGCATATATCTTCTTCACCCCCTTCTTAACTTTTGGAGTTAATTCATGTCGCTGCTACAATTAAACTTGATAAGAATCACCTATTGTGCCAGAATTTTCAATGCTGTGGCTGCTCAATGGTTGCCTTTGGCCAACTGTATGGCAAAAAGTCTAAGTGCTAAAGTAATTATTTCTCCTTAGGTTTCCGTCAGATTACTATATAAGTAAAGATAATTTTTGCTCCACCTTTCCCCTTTATCTTTTTCCCCAGTATATTTGTAACAATCCCTACTGCAAACATTTGAACTCTGGCAAAATGGGTGTCTTACTCCCAGGAGTTAATAAGCATAAGAATCCATTTGGGCCCTGTTGCTCTAGTGGATAAATTTTGTCCTAGCATCAAGGTTGTTCTTTTTAAAATAGCATTATGGCTTTCCACATTTTATAATGGTGCTTTAGGTGAACTAAAACAATGATATCTAGGTAGAAAGGTCATGCAGTAAAACATTACTCTTTTTTGTTATTAATGTCAATTGTTATTAAGAAAGCTTGAGCATAACACTGAAAGTTCCTTCTCCATTGTATAGAAATTGACTTTTAGTCTGTTCCACCTTTATCACCATCAAACATATTGCAAATAAAATATTAGAAGCATATGTATAGAAGGGATCATGGGAAATCATCTAGTCCATCCATGTAAGGACTGTTTGTGAATTGTCCCAGAAATATTATTATCAATTTTCTCTTAGTAAATTCTCCAAGGAAAGAAATATACAACCTCCTTTGGTAATATGCTGCAGTAATACTTTATTCCTTGTTGTCCTAGACTCTGCGTCTAAGATTACAGAAATCTGGCTGACCATTGAAGGATTTCTTTCTTTTTTATTTATTTAATTTTTTATTATACTTTAAGTTTTAGGGTACATGTGCACAACGTGCAGGTTTGTTACATATGTATACATGTGCCATGTTGGTGTGCTGCACCCATTAACTCGTCATTTAACATTAGGTATATCTCCTAATGCTATCCCTCCCCCCTCCCCCCACCCCACAACAGGCCCCGGTGTGTGATGTTCCCCTTCCTGTGTCCATGTGTTCTCATAGTTCAATTCCCATCTATGAGTGAGAACATGCGGTGTTTGGCTTTTTGTCCTTGCGATAGTTTGCTGAGAATGATGGTTTCCAGTTTCATCCATGTCCCTACAAAGGACATGAACTTATCCTTTTTTATGACTGCATAGTATTCCATGGTGTATATGTGCCACATTTTCTTAATCCAGTCTATCATTGTTAGACATTTGGGTTGGTTCCAAGTCTTTGCTATTGTGAATAGTGCCGCAATAAATATACATGTGCATGTGTCTTTATAGCAGCATATTTTATAGTCTTTTGGGTATATGCCCAGTAATGGGATGGCTGGGTCAAATGGTATTTCTAGTTCCAAATGCCTGAGGAATCGCCACACTGACTTCCACAATGGTTGAACTATTTTACAGTCCCACCAACAGTGTAAAAGTGTTCCTATTTCTCCACATCCTGTCCAGCACTTGTTGTTTCCTGACTTTTTAATGATTGTCATTCCAACTGGTGTGAGATGGTATCTCATTGTGGTTTTGATTTGCATTTCTCTGATTGCCAGTGATGATGAGCATTTTTTCATGTGTCTTTTGGCTGCATAAATGTCTTCTTTTGAGAAGTGTCTGTTCATATCCTTCACCCACTTTTTGATGGGGTTGTTTGTTTTTTTTCTTGTAAATTTGTTTGAGTTCATTGCAGATTCTGGATATTAGCCCTTTGTCAGATGAGTAGATTGCAAAAATTTTCTCCCATTCTGTAGGTTGCCTGTTCACTCTGATGGTGGTTTCTTTTGCTGTGCAGAAGCTCTTTAGTTTAATTAGATCCCATTTGTCAATTTTGGCTTTTGTTGCCATTGCTTTTGTTGTTTTAGTCATGAAGTCCTTGCCCATGCCTATGTCCTGAATGGTATTGCCTAGGTTTTCTTCTAGGGTTTTTATGGTTTTAGGTCTAACATTTTCTTTTTACCTCTTTTTTTTGTGGTGAAGTGGGAGATCAGATTCTTGAAACTGTGGAAGCAGGGGAAATCAAGCACCATACAATACATGGAGAGCCAGTAGTTATCAATTTAATATATATTTCCTAAGTACCCACTGATAAAATACTCAACTCTGTAGAGAACAAGGCCTTAATTCTGAAAGAGCTAATTTTGTTTTGAAAAGCTTAAAATAAGTCTGATGATTTTTTTTTTCTTTTCTACCTCTCTTCTCTTTTTAGGAAGCTTTCTGTGTATTGCTTCTGCCTGTGGATCAGTACAGTGTAAGATCATGTGATAAGGGGAATATTCCTATATGAAACTCAAGACATACTGAATTAAAACCAATTTTAAAATTAGTGTTTTAAACTTTTTTTTTTCTTTGCGATAGGGTCACGCTCTGTGTTCCAGGCTAGATTGCAGTGATGCAGTCACAGCTCACTACAGCCTCCAACTTCTGGGCTCAAGCAATCTTCCCATCTCAGTACCCTCCCTAGTACCAGGTCTGACTGATTAAAAAAAACTTTTTTTTGTAGAAATGGGATCTTGCTATGTTGCCCAGGCTGGTCTTGAATTCCTGGCCTCAAGTGACCCTCCAGTCTTGGCCTCCCAATGTGTTGGGATTACAGGTGTGAATCACTGCACCTGGCCAAATTCTTTAGTCAGTAATTCCCTAAAGCTCAAGTATTGGGAGTTGTTCATTCATGATAGTTGATAGTGTTATAAATGAAGAAAATTACATGACATGGCTAATGTAATACCCAATGCAATGCTTTAAAAGGTTCAATTTCCAGAAAAATTTTATCATAAAACTTTGAATTATACTGCTTGTTGTTGTAGAAGAAATATCACTGTTTTAGAACTCTATACTTAATGCTGTGACTTTTTAATGTAGTTTACTGCTAACTTGTTAGAAATCTTTGTCATCGTCAGTATGCTAATCAACCAGGAAACCCTGTGTTGGGGCGTAAAGGGCCTTAGGGAAATGGGTTAACCTTTGTTTCATCCCATTCCCCAACCCCAGTCACCACGTAAGAAAGAAATGACCTTAACTCTACTTCCTAGGAATGCTAGTTAGATTTTTAAAATGTGATTAATAGCAAGAGCTTTGAATTTCTTTGAAAGAAAGGATTTTTTTTTCATTAGCAGCCCAAAATAATTTGTTAAAACTCTAATGTGACTTCTTTAAAACACAATTTATAATGTCAGGAAGACAAGCTGAGGCACAAGTTACGTGCTTAACCCAAAACCATATAATTGGAGGCAATACTAAGAGTAAATCAAGAATAGATACTAGAAGGCATTATTTCAGGTCACAATTACCCTGTGAGATTAAGATGGTTTGTATTTACTAACTTCATTGTATACAAAAAGTTTATTTTGAGCCTCACTTATGATTCCACTGCATTTTTCTTAAACTACATTTTTGGATATGGTATAATAAATGGATTATGAATCATCCTTTGTTCAATCTTTTTTGTTGTTGTTGTTTTTGTCAATAGTCTTTTCTCCTTCTTTTTCCTCAACTCTGGAGTTGGGAACACTTTTTTTTTTCCCCCTAAGTCACTAGAGAAACCACGAAGGAGGCGCTATTTCTTCTTGGAGTTTGCTGATTAAAAGCTAACTCAACCTCAGTCTTTTCTAAAAAAAAGGTGATGGTTCAGATAATTGCTTGATGAATGATATGTGAAACAAAGATGGCTTTCTCATAAAAACTCCGGACAAATAGAGACTATATTTCACTCAATACTCAGGCCTTCTTTCAAGCCTTTCAAGTCTGAGGTAAGCTCTGACATCTCCAGTACCAATTTTATTTTTTTTTAACCAGCTCTTTAGCCATGGAAAAGCATTAATTTTTTCTTTCAACAAAAATAAAATTTGATAAGATCTTCAGTATTAGGGGAATAACTGTTTTAGCATAGAGCAGGAGATTATTTATATATTTTCTTTTTAATTTTTATAATTTAGGGGGTACAAATGCAGTTTTCTTACATCGCTATATTACATCGTGCACTCATCATCTAAATAGTGTACTTTGTACCCAATAGATAAATTTTCATCTCTCACCCCCCTTCCACCCTCTCACCTTTAATAGTCTCCATTGCCTATTATTTAACTCTGCATGACTATGTGTATTCTTTGTTTAGCTCTCATGTATAAGTGGGAACATGCAGTATTTGACTTTCGTTTCTGTGTTAATTCACTTAGGATAATGGGAAATTGCATCCATGTTACTGCAGAGGACATGATTTCATTCTTTTTTGTGGCTAAGTAGTATTCCATGGTGTATATTTTTATCACAGTTTCTTTATCCAATCATCCACTGATGGACACGGGTTGATTCTGTGACTTGGCTATTGTGAATAACACAATAGCTAGATCCAATTAATTTTATATAATTAAGACTAAGGAAACACAATGATCCTAGTTGAAATGTTAACCAATATTATGGGTCACTACTAATTATATTGTAAATAAATCCCAGTCCTCTGAAAGAAGAATGATACCTTGACCTAAGTGTTGGCAGTACATTATTTCTTCTTCTGAAGAATGATTTCTTTTTACCTCACATAGCTTTCATTTCTGTGGTAAGAACATTAAACATCTACTCTCATCATTTTTTATTAGTACAATATATCATCATTAACTGTAATCACCATGCTATGTACAATAGATCTCTTAAAGTTATTCTTCCTATCTAACGGTAGTTTTATGTCCTTTGACCAACAACTCCCCAACCACCTCCCATTGGCACCTCTAATAATTATTCAGATAGGTTGTTCCATTGTTAGACAACTCTAGTTAGTACAAAGGATTTAAATTTAATTTAAAATTAAACCAAAATGTGGTTCTTTCTAACATCTACCCAGTGGTTTGGATTTTTGTATTCTGAAGTAAATCTTCTCCTTGCTATTAGAGCACTTCACCTAAGGTAAGATCCCTGGCATGTCTCCTTGCAGTTTTCTGAAAACAGCTTTTGATTATCTGTCTAAAGATTGAACGTTCCTAGTTCTTTCAAACATTCTATATGGTGCATATATTTTATGCCCTTTACAATCTTGGCTGCCAGCTTCTAATTTGAGCCTCCCTAATATTTTTAAAGTGTTTAATCCAAAAGTCTTAAGTGTAAGTCTTCAGTGTAGTCTTGGATATATTTATATATATATATATATCTATATATATATATCTATATCTCTCTCTCTATATATATATATATAATTTTTGTTATATTTTGTTTATATTTTATCTATTTATTTTATGTATTTATATTTTATTTATATTTATATTTTATTAATATTTATATTTAAGGTGGGCCCTAAATGTAATAACAACGGTCTTTTTAGTAGAAAGGCAGAGGGAAAATTTTTGACATAAAGGGAAATAGGAGGTATGATGATGTAAACAAGAGGTTGGAGTGATGTGAGGAAAGAGTCATGAGCCAAGAAATGTAGATGGGCTCTGAAAACTAGAAAAGACAAGGAAAATAGAATCTCTCCTAGAGCCCTCAGAAGGAAAGAGTTTTACCACCACCTTGGTTTTAGCCCTGTAAGACTAATTTCAAGCTCTGACCTTTAGAACCGTGTTGTTTCAAGCCACTAAATTTGTGGTGATTTGTTAGAATGACAATAGGAAACTTAATAGAGTTGTTGGCTATGCCATTGTTAAGTCATTTATCCTTGTGCAGTTCACTTAACTCTGTCACTGCTTTTGTTCCTTTTAAGTAAGGTTGAGCTTAACATTGCCCATATTACAGATCTTTCAAGATTGTCATAAGAATTGTGAAGTTGTATCTGAAATAAATACATTGGACTTTTCTAAAGAATGATATTCTTATGAAAAAATGGAGCATCAAAAATCAGTTACTGAGTCATTGTTTGTTAGACCTGACACCAGTTAGAAACATGGTGGAAAGTTTTCAATCACTTTATGGATTTGAAATGGCCACATTTTATTTTGATCTACAGAAGATTTCCAGATCCATTGCTAAAGCGATCAGTTAGTTTCCTATTTAACAGTTGCATTTTTGTATTTTTCTTAAAAACAAACAAAATGTTCTGTTCTGCACAGTTTCTAACCCCTATGCCCTTACTTTGCTGGGTCTATTTGAGAACAGGGGGCCTGTCTCATCACTTGGAAAACCTTAGAGTTCAAGTCTGTGCGAAGAATGTGCAAAAATTCTTGTACTGTTGGGACTGTTGACTGCTTCCTAGCCTAAAGGAAATCAGTTGCCTAAAGGAAATCAGTTGTCTTATGTTTTTACATTTGCTTTAGAAATGATTTCTTTTTTGCTTGCTATCTTGATAAATCTCTAAAAGACATAATGATTCCATTTGCTTTTTAAGTTTTAAATAATAATAACATTTACTTGCAAATACTGTTAAAATAATATAATTTTATCTATTTTTATTTGTTATTTTATAATTCTTGTAAGCCGAATGTGCTGTTACATAGCCTAAACCAAGAATGGGATAAGTACATTGGTGAACTAATGCCTGAAGTATTAACCCATATGATAACATACTTCATTTCTTTCTTGGATTTCTGCACTGTCTGGTGAATTTACACAAGTTATTACAAAATAAACTGTGACCACGATGCTTCTTGTTCTCTCATATATTGCAGTTTGTATGCAGTTTTAGACACCAGGGCTTAAAAAAATTATAGTGATTTCATGTAAGTATGTATAGTCCTTTTCTAGTGGTGGTTCATATGAATGGGTTTAAATAGAAAAATGTTCCATGTAAGGAGCCATAGTATTGTCAACTAAAAATATCAAACTCTAATATTTATGAAGAGGTTTATTCTGAACCATATCTAAGTGACCAATGGCCCATGACACAACCTTCAGGAGATCATGAAAACATGTGCCCATGTTGGTGGTTGGACTCCAGCTTGGTTTTATATATTTTAGGTAGACATAAGACACCAGTTAATACATGTAAGATGTACATTGGTTCGGTCCAGAAAGGCAGAACAACTGGAAGCAGGTGCTGGGAGCGGGGACAGCTTCCAGGTCATAGGCAGATTCAAAGATTTTCTGATTGGCAATTGATTGAAAGAGTTACTATCTACAGATCTGGAATCAATAGAAAGGAATGTCTGGGTTAAGATAAGGGGTTGTAGAGACCAAAGTTTTCTCATGCAGATGAAGCCACTAGGTAGCATGCTTCAGAGAGAATAGCTTGTAAATGTTTCTTATCAAATTTAAAGAGCCTGTTCTATTGGTAATTTTAAAAGGGAGGAAGGTATAATGAGGCATGACCAGTTCTCCCTTCCCATCATGGCCTGAACTAGATTTTCAGGTTAACTTTGGAATGCCCCTAGCCAAGAGGAGGGGTCCATTTAGATGGCTGGGGGGCTTTGAATTTTATTTTTGGTCTACAGTATATAGTTAATTCACATTACTTTGTTCATATGTTTTGGTCTACAGTATATAGTTAATTCACATTACTTTGTTCATATGTAACATTACTTTGTTACATATAATGTAAATTCATTTCTCAACACAGTGACATTAAGAGCTCTTTGCCACAAATGACTTATAGCTGTGACATATGAGCTATAGCTTGTGAGTTACACACAGCATCTAGAGGGTTCAAAATTCGATATTACTGAAGTTTGGAAATCTTGAGTGTCCTGAGTAGAATGACAGTCCTCTTTTACAAAGAACCTAGAAAATTGGATAGCTCCTTTTTAAGGAAGTCTGTGATCCATTAATGTCTCTGCTCCCTAGAATTTGTGTCCAGAGGCTGTGGAGCAAGTGTCCATGATTAAACAACATGGAGTTATTAGTAATTAAGGAGATTCTGAAATGGGAGAAGTTCCGTATACTCCTTACAGGATGTGCCATGGGGGTGTGGCTCACTTTTTCGGTGGCCCGCCACTCAAACCTCTGGGGGGAGCATGCATATGGGCAGGCTGTGGGACTCTGACCCCACAACAGTGTCTTGGGGTGAATGTTTACAGCTGAAGCCCCAGTGGGCGTGTGTTACAGTATGCTCTTTCAGTTTAGCCATCTGTAGGTGCCTTGTGTTAGTCAGCTCAATTAGACCCCACCCTGCCTTATCACAAGGACAGAGTGCTTTCTGTATCCTGGGGTTTCTTGCCTTGGTGTACCAGAAGAATCGGATCACATGTGAGCTTGGAGAATGATTGCAAGGTTTTATTGAGGGGAAGTAGCTCTCAGCAGATGGTTGGGGAGCCAGAAGGGAGATGGAGTGGGAAGGTGGTTTTCCCCTGGATTCAGGCTGCTCAGTGGCCGGGCTGTCCTCTGACTGCCCTGGCCAAACTCCATGTCGTTCTGCTGGTTGGTGGCTTGCCAGTGACTGTTGGTGTGCTCTTACACTAGTGTGTTCCTTTCAACATCCAGCTGCTTGTGTGTTCTTCCACCTTTGTGTTCCTCTTGATGTCCAGGCGCTTGTATGCGTGCCCAGTAGGGTCTCAGGGTTTTTATGGGCACAGGATGGGGGCATGATGGGCCAAGGTGGTCTTGGGAAATGCAGCATTTGGGCAGGAAAACAGAAATACTTGTCCTCACCTAGGTCTGTGGGCACAGGCCCAGGGATAGAGCCCTAGCCAGGGACCACAACCTTTCCTTCCCAGCGCTTCCATGCTCCTCTTCTGTATCAATTCTAGGCATATGTCGTAGTGGAAGGGACATTGAACTTGCAGTATGAAGTTCAGAGGTTGAGTGTGAATTCCACCATTCATAGCTGTGTTGCAGGTCCCTTCATTTCTGTGAACCTCAGTGACCTCAACTCAAAAATGACTATACATTATAATACTACTCCCCTACCTATTCCATAAAGTTGTCATAGTGAAAGAGATTATATATTCATTATTCAGTTATTCATCAACAAGTATATTTTGAGCATCTTCTATGTGCTTGACTTTGTGCTAGGCACTGAGGATTCAGTGTTGAACAGGATAGACATAGACATAGCCCCTACTTTCATTAATGTTACATTCTACTGGAAAATACAGACGTTAAAGAAGTAAATGCATAAATAAGTATGTAATTATGACTTCTGATAAGTGCCAGGAAGTAAGAGGACAGAGTTTAGAGTGAGAGTGTAACAGTAGACTTACTTTAGATAATGTGATCAGGGAAGATGCCACTCTGGAGGTGATGTTTAAACTGAGTTCCAAAGGAAATAAGAAGGAAACAGGTATGTGATGTGCAAAGAAAATAACATTTCAGGCTGAGGGCTAGCAACTGAAAAGACCTAGAAGAGGAAATTATCTTGGCATATTTGAGGAACACAGGTAATCCCTGGTGTGGCCAGAACAGGCTGAATAATATGCAATAAAATTGGAGTTGAAGTCAGAGGAGAGATCAAATAAAGCCAGTGGTAAACTTTATAAACTCTAAAATCCTATACAAGTTTAAAGTGGTGGTGGTATGACTGGCACTATTTTCGTCCATATAACATTCCCGAGTTCTTTCATCCTTGTAATGTGTGGCCCCAACTGACTGTTGACGCATGAAGATAAGTCTGTGGATTCCTGTTTTTATGCTTTGACTCTGAGCTAAATTGGGTGAAAGCTGGATTCCCCTAACTTTCTTTAAGATAAAAAAAAATCTTAGATTTCTTCTGTAGTTATTTGCCCCCAAATGAGATTTTTCATATCTTGTGGTTCCTAATTGGGTCACTGAATCAGTGCTCGTTAGAACAATATGTTGATATGTAAAAGTAAGGCAAATATGTTCACAAGTTGGTGGTCTGTGGCTCTTGAAGGAGAGAAGTCAGAAAAGCCAGGTTGGATTGACCTTGGAAAATGTTCATGTAGAAATAGATTTAAATATTATTTTAGCAGCAGCCTGTCAGTAAAAGCTTTGTTCATTCTTAATCTCTTAGGAAAACAAAAGCTTCCGCCAATAAGAATGGCACATTTCATCAGACGCATGTCTAAAAAGATGGACTTACAGATGAAGTTCTATTTGTAAATTTGGAGTCAAGGGAATACTTATCACTCCTAACTCAGTTTATCACTTAAAAGAGTTGTGAAATGTGGTGTCATTAGGCTTCTTTTTTAAATAAAGAGAGTTGAATTTTATTTTATTTATTTTCTCTATAATGTTAGCCTTTGAGGGTGTCATTATTCATATTCATCACTTTTAGAAGAGAGAAGTTAGAATATCATTTTGGATACTTTCTTTTTTAAATCAATTCCGTCTGAACCTAGTGATCTAAAGAATGTAGTAAACTGTGTTATAGGATTTTGTCCTTTGCTGGAAAGCAGTTTGTTGCTGTATGTAGCTGATTAGAAGGAGGGTTCCTAACTCTTACTAACCAATAGCTATTATCAATTTAACTGAATTGCTGTTTTGGTTTTGTGGTCTTTATCAGCTTTCATAGGTTATAGTGGCAATAATTCTAAGGAGAACCTTTTGGAGCTCAGTCAGCTTACTCAGATAGACTCATGGCAAGCCATTAGCAAACACTAGTTGTAAAAGTGGCAGCTTTGGGTCCAAGACTGCTGTAGCAATATTTTCTGGGTGCTATCAAATGAAATTAATAAAATCATTTGCATGGTACTTAGCATCATTACTAGCACGTAGTAGATGCTGAATATATATGCATGTTCACATATATTTATATGCATGTTTTTATGTGTTTCTCTCTATATATATACACACACACGTATATGTATATGTTTGTACAGGTGTGTGTGTCTACACAGACACCCACACACACACACCTCAAAGCCTCAGTAAAATTGGGGATAATAATACTTACCTGGCTGTTATAAAGTTTAAATGAGATAATATGCTTAGCACAGTGCTTAAAACAGTAACTGTTCTATAGCTATATTTTATATATGTTTTATTATTATTACAGGTATACCTTATTAAACTCATATTGTCCCTAAAATATTTTACTATGCATAGCATCTAATGCAAGTTATTTAATTCTCTCTGAAATTTAGATCATAAATAGGGGTAATAGTATTACATACACATCACAGAATAGTTGTGATGACTAAACAAGATGAAGTTCTCAATGTAGATCTTGGGATACAGTAACGGTTCAATAAATAAATAAATAGTAGTGAATTAGTGATGATGATGATGATGATGATGATGATGATGATGATAAGGAAGATGATATCACCTGTCCTCTGGAAAAGAAATGTAGGCTAACTACTAGTTTTTCTGAATAGCAAGATTTTACTACTTAGTTGATGCTCTCCCAGAATTGTTTTTGTTACTAAATTCAAACTTTTAACATGCCTATCCTGCTCTCCTTTCTCATGCCTTCTCTCTCACTCTCTCTCTCTCACTCTTGCATGCCAAATCAAGCTGTTTCTTTGTGAAAGCACCAATGACATAGGTTAGCTTACTATTTTTGAGGTCCAGCTGTACATTTTAATAAACACTTTTCGTATTGTGGAATAATGACCTAGTCTTTCCTTCTTAAAACATGCAGGGTGAAATCCTCACTATTTTTATGAAACAGCATCTGATCTTGAACTTTTATGACTCACCTCAGTCACTTCACCTGTATTTTGGCCCTGTCAGATCATGTCTTTATTTAAACTTTTGATATTTTATTCTTTATATGTTTTTGCATTAGTTTTTATTTTTAAAACTTTTTCTAAGTATTTTTATCTTGACTACTGTGGTTTTGGTGCCTTCTTAAATTTTATGCTAGAGATGACTACTGCCTCATTCTTCTCACTGGAGGATATCATACAACTATATGATATACAACTATATGATACATATACAACTTGCAATTGTGGGATTCACCTTTTCTGAGTATGAAAGTGGAAATCTTCTATAATAGTAGTTGAATTTTTACAATTGATTGGGAGAACAAATAATAACAAGAAGCTGTCATGAATTTGGTAACACTTTGAAATGAATTTGTATTTTAGTTTAAACAACAGCATCTACACATATTGAAAAAAATAGTTGTGTGTTTAAGTGCAAGACTTATTTATTCAGTCTATAGATAGTGCTTTGCATACGTAGAGCTTTGTAGACCCTTTACAATAACTCTTGTTTCTCCCTCCATATTCTTCATCCCGACAGAGATCTCTGGACCACAGATTAGAAACCACTGCTGTAAGAATTCAGATATAAGGAAAATCAGTGTGCCTAAAATATGTTTAGAGAATATAGGACTTTGATATCCATGAGCATTTGAATACCTTGCCCAAGGTTATATAGCCAATAACTTAGCAGAGCCAGGATCCATATCCAGGATTTTACACTGACATGACTTTGGCATGAATTTGAAAAATAAGTAGGAGAAAAGGAGTAAATAAATGTGGGAAGACATTCTGTTTATTGAGTGCCTTTTGGGTGCCAAGCTTGGAGCCAGGCACTTTGCATTCCTCTTTTATGTAGTCTATGAAGTAGGTGTTATTATGCCCATTTTACATTTAAGAAAACTGAGCCTCAGAGCATTTGAATACCTTGCCCAAGGTCTTATAGTCAATAATTTTAGAGCCAGGATCCGTATCCAGGATTTTATAGTTTCATTGTTCGACTAAGACAGGAAGAAGTCAGCTACTGTTAATGCTGGTAAACAAAAAGTTTGAATTTAAACTGGTAAGTCAGAAGTGCACAGAAATTACAGTTGTTTGCTTTTATACTTTCCTCATTTGGCAGGCCCATCTTAACTGCCTAGATATTTTTAAATGTCCTGTTGAGGAAGTTTGTGTTTTTTTCTAGGTCATCATTCAACAGATTATTTTGTCTTTCATTAATTTACTATTAATATTTACCTCTACTCTCTAGGCTCTTTACATAGTCTAGAATAGTCTGTTTTTCACAGGCTATCTCGAGCAAGTTGCAAAAACATACATAGTCTCTTTATTGGCCCTTTCTAAATTCTTCAAATTGGATTTTAAAAAGTAGATTCCAATTACAAATAGGTTGCATCAATATAGAAATACCTTGACTTGCTCATTTTCTCAAAGTAATAAGGCAAATGTTAAAAAAAATCATTTCTGCATTATGCATTAATAAAATACAGATGATGAAATGGTTTTCCTCATTTTCTTTTTAGTTGTCTTTCATGATTTTTACAAAGTAAATTTATGAACAGTTCAGTGCAGCTTTTCGTTTTTAAGGTATTAATGCTTCTTCCAATGTTTTGATTATTTTGCATTCAAATATGGCCAGGAGATGTGATTGTTAATTACATTTCTTTATGATTTGTGTTACAGCAAAATGTTCTCCATTGAATTTTTTGGTGTAACATGGAAAACTTTTCTTCTGTTGTGAAAGTATGTGTACTATTGAACAGCAAGATAACTTATGGAAATTTTAAAGTTCTTAGATGAGGCTTAACTGTGGAAATATTCTTCTTTTTTCAATTCTGTCTCCCACTAAAATCATTAAGGCTCTCTGGGTCTTGAGACATATGAATTCTTCACCTTGATTGTAGGTACCCGTTAACAGAAGTTTACTAGGCATGTTTTAATATCTGAAAGGGTTGTAATTCTGGGTTTTGAGTTATGTCCCTTTCCTTTGCCTTTTAGATTTTTGTGATTGTGTCTTAGACTAATGCCAGTAGTTATTGTGGAGATTTATGAGCTAGCAAGTACTTATGAGACATCTGGGTTTCCATACACTGTAAAGCTGAACAATTTAAAGCACAAATTTTGGATTCAGGATACATGTTTTTAAATCTCATGTAATGGAACAAGCTATCATTTAATGGTGGTTGTCTTGAGTAGATTACTTACCTTTTCCCTCATCTCAGAGAGTCCCTTTCTTTATCTGTCAAATGAAGACAGTAATACCAACATCACAGATTTATTTTGAGGATTTAGAGATAATGTTATATGCTCCACACTGTGCTTAGTACATAGTAGGCACTCAATAAAGGTAAAGCTAACAAAATTTTGATAAATATTATTTTAATGTTAGCAAAGAAAACATGCTTATGAGCTTGAGGATTTAGGATATAGTATGCCTGGCAGAGACCACTACCAAACTGTCCCAAAAAGTAGTTGCTTTTTTCTTTTAGGAAGTCTCCAGGTCTTACAACCCAGAGTTTGGAAGGGCTGGGGAGAGAGAAAAAGGGTCAGAGAATTTGTATTTTTAATGCTTGGGGTTGCTAGGTAGTTGAGTATCGGAAAAGTGAATATGGAAACTTGCCTCAGTTGACAAAAGTAGAACGTAAGAAAGGGAAAGAGAAATAGTGCCTCAAGCAAACAATTAAGAGCAATAGTTTACTGTTTTCAGATATGATATATAGACTACCCACCTCTACCCAGAGTAGTGTTTTTAATGCAGACTCCTAGGCCCAGGTCTTGACTTTCTGAAGTATATTTTCAGTCATACTGAGGTTTGAAAATCTCCTGGTATAACAAAATAAGGTTGAAATTAGTTCAAATTTTTATTTTTCCACTTATTAACTGTACCCATGGCTCTTGTCCTTCTTATGTTCCACTCCAACTCTGCTTTTACCACTCTAGCCTTTTTTCTCCTTGTTATTACATAACTCAATCAACTAACTGTACCTATTCAACTAGATAGTTGTGTAACATGCCATCATTTGGTCTTAAACCATTGGAGTGCTATCACTGGCTCCTCGTACTGAACTTGTACAGTTTTCTAGCTGACAGCTACTTTTAATTTCCTGACCTCTCATCCACAATGTCTGGTCCTGACATGACTGCCAATTCTTCTCCCTAGTTTCTATGTGGTCTGAATTACTACCCTGACCAATCTGATGCCCAGGTTTGTTTGTTTTTTATGAGTTTACCCAATTTAGAGCCTGGATAGCAAACTTAACTCAAGGGTATGGACTCAGATGCAAAACTTCAGTGTGTATAGCCTACAGACTCTATAATCACCGAATACTTCTTTGTACCCCAGTGCAGATCGTGTCCATATCTAATTTAATAGGCAAGAGCACACATGCTAGGTGTGGAAAAATGGACAAGGATTCTGCATTTTAAGCAGAATCTCAAAAAATAAGCAATAATAATTAACCAGAATTACAACCCTTTCAGATATTAAAACATGCCTAGTAAACTTCTATTAACGGGTACCTACAATCAAGGTGAAGACAAAGGACATTCCTGTGAGAGGTAACAGTAAGAGCAAATACATGACTTAGGACTAGTAAACGACTCAGTGTTAGGTTTTCTATAAACATTCCATTGTTTCTCACGATGCAGTATGAGTAACACCTGCTTCAAAAATTTCAGAGGGTGACTGTTTAAAATTTTATTCATGGGTGCTCTAGACTTATTAAATTTGGATCCATGGGAATGCGACTCAACAGTCTGCATTTTCAACAACAGATGCACCATCAAAAAACATCAAGTAGCTATATATAACTAAGGATATGTAGTTGAAGACTTGAGAAGACTGAGCCATGTATTTCTAAAAGGGCTGAAAACTATGTAGTTTAGAGAATGCTCACTTTCTATAAAAAAGTGGCAGTGTTTGGAATTAGCCACACACTGTGGAACCAATTACCATTTAAGTTATAATACACAGGATTCTAGAAGAAAAGAAAATGATCTTATCTGAAGTCCAGTAAGTTTTGTTGTGTGTGTGTGAGGGAAGGACGGAGGGAGAGAGAGAGGCTGAGGGAGAGAGAGAGAGAGAGAGAGAGAGAGAGACAGAATAGGATGACAGTGCAAGGAGGCCCTGGTGTGGCTTCTAAGTGGCAAGGAACCTTCAGTAAGAAAGCAGGCACAGTCTAAAGACTTGAAACCATGGAAATTAGATAGATTCCAGTGAAGGCTATGGTAGTGAGAGAAAAGTCAAGTAATGTTATTGAATTAAATTCTTACTTGGATTTCCTAGGGAAGAGATGGATCAAGATGGTGAAATAGAAGACTCCACCAATCATCCCCTTCACACGAACACCAATTTAACAACTATCTACATGCACACACACAAAAGCTTCATCAATTTAACAACTATCTACATGCACACACACAAAACCTTTGTAAGAACTCAAAATCAGGTAAGTACTCATAGTACCTGGTTTTAACATCATATTGGTGAAAGAGGCACTGAAAAGGTAGAAAAAACAGTCTTGAATCACCAGTGTCGCCCATAACTCCCTCCCCGACCAGCAGCAGTTGCATGGTGCAGAGAGCTTCTCTGGTTGCTGGGGGAGGGAGAACTCAGCAATTGTGAGACATTCAACTCAGTTCTGTCCTGTTAGAGCAGAAAGGAAAACCAGACCAAACTCAGCTGATGTCTGGACACAGGGAGCATTTAAAGTAGCCCCAGCCAGAAGGGAATTGTTGATACTAGCAGTCAGAACTTGAGTTCTTGCAAACCTTGCCACAGAGGGTTACATTGCCCTGGGTCTTTAAGTAAACTTGAAAGGCAGGCTAGGCTACAAGGGCTGCAACACTAAGGCAAATCCTAGAGCTGAACTGAGTCCAGATACAGTAGACTGTGGGGCACATGAGCTACTAAGACAATAGCTGGGTTGGCTAAGGGAATGCTGTCATCACCCCTCCTTTAACCTTAGGTTGCACAGCTCACAGCTCCAAAAGAAGCGCCTTCCTTCTGCTTGAGGAGAGGAGAAGGAAGAGTGGGGAGGACTTTGTCTTGTATCTTGGATACTAGCTCAGCCACAGCAGGACAGGGCACTGGTCATAGTTGTGAGGCCCCTGTTTCAGGCCCTAGCTCCCGGATGACATTTCTAGACATACCCTGGGCCAGAAGGGAACCCACTGCCTTGAAGGGAAGGACCCAATCTTGGCAGCATCCATCATTTGCTAACTAAAGAGGCCTCAGGCCCTGAATAACCAACAGTGATTCCCAGGTACTACATCAAAGGCCTTGGTTGGGTCTCTGATTGTAAGCTTAAGGTACCCGCTTGGCTGGCCACAGGAGGGTAGAGCATCAGGCAAGCTCTTGGAGTCCCTGACTCCAGGACTTGACTCTTGGATGGTATTTCTGGACCTGCCCTGGGCCTGAAGGGAGCCCACTGCCCTGAAGGGTGAGTCTCAGGCCAGGCAACATTAACTACAAGCCGACTTACGGGCCCTTGGGCCTTAAGGGAACATTGACAGCAGTCTGGCAGTACTCCCCATGGCCTGTGGTGGCAGTGGCCACGGGGTGAGGCACCTCTGCCTTTGGAAAGTGGAGTGAACAGTAGAAAGGACTACATCTTGTGGCTTAAGTGCCAGTGCAGCCACAGTATAATAGAACACCAGGTGGACTGCTAAGGTTTTTGATTCTATTATCGGCCTCCTGCACAACACCTTTGAATCCACCTGGGATCTGGGGGAACTCACCACACTGAGGAGAAGAACACAGGCCAGGCTGGTTTTGTCACCTGCTAATTGTAAAGCCCCAGGGTTTTGAGCGAACAGGCAGTAGCCAGGGGGTGATTACAGCAGGGCTCGGGTGAGACACAGTGCTATGTTTGCTTCAGGTCTGACCCAGTGCAGTCATAGTGGTGGTGGCCACAGGGGTACTTGTGTCACTCTGTTCCTACCTTTGGGTAGTGCAGAACAGAGAGAGAGAGAGAGAGAGAGAGAGAGAGAGAGGGAGAGAGAGACTCCATTGCTTGGGAGAAGGTAAGGGAAGAGAACAAGAGTCTCTGCCTGGTAATTCAGAGAATTCTCCTGGAACTAGCCCAGCACCATCAAGGTGATACCTCTATGAGTATGCAACAGCCAAAGAATTAATGGACTTGGCATGCCTTCTGAAGCAGCTGCAGCTTGGATCACAAACCCAATTTATTTTGAATATCTGGAGAGCTTTTCTAAGAAAGAGAGGTACAAACAAGCCCAAACATTGAAGATTACAAGAAATACCTAACTCTTTAATGCCCAGATGACAAAGAACATCTACTAGCATCAACATCATCCAGGAAAACATGACCTCATTAATTACTAAATAAGACACCAGGGACAAATCCTGGAGAAAAAGAGATATGTGAACTCTCAGACTGATAATTCAAAATAGCTGTGATGAGGAAACTCAAAAGAAATCAAGATAACACAGAGAAGGAATTCAGAATTCTATCATATAAATTTAGGAAAGAGATTAAAGTAATTAAAAAGAAACAAACAGAAATTCTGGAGCAGAAAATGCAATGAGGATACTGAGAAATGCATCAGAGTTTTTTAATAGTGGAATTGATCAGACAAGAAAGAAGTAGTGGTCTTAATAACTGGCTATTTGAAAATGCACAGTCATAGGAGACAAAAGAAAAAAGAATATGTAGCACGCATACAGAATCTAAAAAATGGTGGAAAAGGGCAAATCTAAAAGTTATGGGCCTTAGAGAGGAGGTAGAGAAAGAGATAGGGGTAGAAAGTTCATTCAAAGGAAAAATGACAGAGAAACTTCCAAAACAGAAAGATACCAAGAAACAAGTACAAGAAGGTTGTAGAACACCGAGCAGATTTAACCCAAAGAAAACTGCCTCAAGGCATTTAATAATCAAACTTCCAAAGATCAAGGATAAAGAAAGAATCCTAAAAGCAGCAAGAGAAAATAAATAACATACAATGGAGCTCCAATGCATCTGGCAGCAGACTATTCAGTGGAAACCTTACAGACCGGGAGAGAGTGGGACGATATATTTAAAGTACTGAAGGAGAACAACTTTAACCCAAGAATAGTACATCTAGCAAAAATATTCTTCAAACTTGAAGGAGAAATATTTTCCCCGACAAACAAAAGCTGAGGGTTTTCATTAACACCAGACTTGTCCTACAAGAAATGCTAAGGGTAGTATTTCAATGAGAAAGAAAATAATGATAATGAGCAAAAAGTAATCTCTTGAAAGTACAAAATTCACTGGTAAGAGGAAATACACAGAAAAAACACAGATTATTATATCACTGTAACTGTGGTGTGTAACACTCTTATCCTGAGTAGAAGAACTAAACGATAAACCAATCAAAAACAATAACTACAACATCTTTTGGAGACATAGACAATACAATAATATGTAAACAGAAACAGCAGAAAGTTAAAAAGCAGGTGGATGGTGTTAAGGTGTAAAGTTTTTATTAGTTTTATTTTGCATGTTTGTTTCTTCATGCAAACAGTGTTATTATTTAGTTGAAAATAATGGGTCATAAGATAGTATTTGCAAGTATGTGGCATGCCAACAGTGAACAATCTGAAAAAGAAATAAAAAATTAATCCCATTTACAATAGCCAGAAATAAAATTAAATAGCGGGGCGTTAACCAAAGAAGTAAATGATCTAATGAAAACCATAAAACCTTGATGACAGGAACTGAAGAGGGCTCCAAAAAATGGAAATACATCTCATTTTCATGGATTGGAAGAATCAATATTGTTTAAATGTTCATCCTACCCAAAGCAATCTCCAGATTCAGTGCAGTCCATATCAACATAGCAATGGCATTCTTCACAAACATAGAAACAACAATCTGTACAGTTATAGGGAACCACAGAAGACACAGAATAGTTAAAGCTATCTTAAACAAAAAAGAACAAAACTGGAGGAATCACATTACCTGACTTCAAATTGATGGTGGTGGTGGTGTGTCTGGAGCAGCCTCTGTGGGGATGCCAGCTACAGTGGGGGAGATGCAGCTTGGGCTACACACTCCGCAGAGCCAGTGGGGGCTGGTAACAAGTGGGAGCCCCATCCCCTACTGAGTTGGCAGGGTGGGAGCCCCATGCTCCTGTGTGCAGCTGAAAATGCCCAGCCAAGGTTGTGAACCCAGGCATCCTTGCCCTCTCAGGGGCCTGGAAATCCATCCCTGCTTCTGCAGGCTCAGAAGTGCCTTTTCCCTCTCTCTGGCCTCTTCCCGCTCCTGGTGCCTGCTCTTGGGTGGAGCAAAGTTGTGGCCTTGTCTGGGTGTTGTAGCAACCCAACTGGGTGTGTGCATGATTGGGGCGGTGCTGACACAGCAGACCCTGCTGCCTCAGCTTCCTCTAGACTTTGTGCACTGAGGAGCATGAGAGGGATACTGAGGAGGCTGAGGGTTGCTTGGCACGGGCCTGCATGCACCCCTTGGCACAAACAGCCTGGGTGCCATGGATGGCAGAAGGCAGACAGTCTCCGGGGTGGAAAGGGGTAGGTTTCAGGTGAAACCCCACCTTCAAGACAGATAAAGTCTGAAATCTGGGGGCCAGGCTGCCAGTTCCAAGTGGAGTCCATGGCCCAGAGTGATAGCTTATGGTACTTTTTCTTGGCCCACCCATGGCTCCCCATGGACCAATCAATAATCATTTCCTCCCTGTGAGCCCATAAAAACCCCAGACTCAGCCAGACTCTGGCAGACATTGGGATTATCAGCTGCAGGAAGGAGCTACCCACTTTTGGTCTCCTGAGTGTTCTGTCACTCAATGAAGCTCATCTCCTGGCTGAAACATGCACCCCTGTTCACTGTGTTGTGGGCAACAAGGAGAGAAGAGTTGCAGCCCTTTGGGGACCCCAGACTTAGGGGGTCCCCGAGCCAGAGATGTGACATCCTCTTTGGGGCTCTGCAGTTCCTGGCATCTGCAACTTCCAAGCATCACCACGTTCCTCTCGTCCAGACACAGGTTGCTTGCAGTGGAAGGCACGTGCAGTACATCTGGTCCAGCCACAGCCTTGCATGGAGCTGGTACCTGTGCCAGTGCCTGGAGCTGCCTGCCCGACAGCAGAAGCCAGCATGCCTGGCTGGGCGCAGTGTCTGGTCCCCACACTTGCTCACCCACACACCCCTCACTTCTCTGCCCTGGCTTGCCCTTGGCAGGTATGGGATCCAGGCCAGTAGCATGAGCCAAGTGCAGCATGCTGAACCGAGTGGGCGGAATAAGAACTTGTAAGTAATACTGAAGCAGAAGGTGCTGCCAGCTACAGAGTTTTCTAGCTTGCAAAATGACACCCCAAGAATCCCATGACAAAATTATACTACAGAGCTATAATAACCAAAATAGCATGGTATTGGCATAAAGACAGAAGCATAGACCAATAGAACAGACTAGAGAACCCTGAAACAAATCCACACATTTACAGTGAACTCATTTTTGACAAAACTGCCATGAACATACACTGGGGAAAAGAGAGTCACTTCGATTAATGGTGCTGGAAAACTGGACATCCATATGCAGAAGAATGAAAGTAGACCCCTATCTCTTGCCATATACAAAAATCATATTTAAATGGATTAAAGACTTAAATATGAGATGTCAAAAGTACTACAAGACACTACTACAAGAAAACATTGGGGGAAACTCTTTAGGATATTGGTCTGGGCAAAAATTGCTTGAGTAACACTGCACAGGCACCAGCAACTAAAGCAAAAATGAACAACTGCGATCACATCATGTTATAAAGCTTCTGCACAGCAAGGGAACAATCAACAAAGTGAAGAGACAGCCCACAGAGTAGTAGACAATATTTGCAAACTATCCATCTGACAAGGTATTAATAACCAGAATACTTAAGGAGCCCAAACAGCTCTAGAGGAAAAAAAAACTTATAATCCAATCAAAAAATGGGCATACAGAGGACAATCAGACATGGAAAAGTGCTCAACATCACTGATCACCAGAGAAATGTAAATCAAAACTGCAATGATATATCATCTCACCCCAGTTAAAATGGCTTATCTAGAAAGACAGGCAATAGAAAATTCTGGTGAGGATGTGGAGGAAAGGGAACCCCCATACACTGTTGGTGGGAATGTACATTAGTACTACCAGTATGGAGAAATGTTTGTAGGTTCCTCTAAAAACTGAAAATAGAGATAACACATGATTCAGCAATTCTACTGCTGGATATATACCCCAAAGAAAGGAAATCAGTATATCAAAGAGGTATTCTGCACTGCCATGTTTGTTGTAGCATTCACAATAGGTAAGATTTGGAAGCAATCTAAGTGTCCATCGACAGATGAATGAAATGTAAAGAAAATGTGGTACATATGCACAGTGGAGGACTATTCAGTCATAAAAATGAGATCCTGTCATTTGCAACAGCATGGATAGAACTGGAGATCATTATATTAAGTGAAATAAATCAGGCGCAATAAGGCAAATGCCATGTGTTCTCATTTATTTGTGGAATCTAAAATTCAAAACAATTAAACTCATGGCCATAGAAAGTAGAAATATGGTTACCAGAGATTGGAAAGGGTAGCGAGGGGGTCGGGAGGAGATTGGAATGGTTATTGGGTACAAAAAAGTTGGAAAGAATGAATAAGACCTACTATTTGATAGCACAACAGGGTGACTGTTGTCAATAATAACTTAATTGTTAAATTTTAAAATAACTGAGTATAATTGTATTGTTTATAGCACAAAAGTATAAATGCTTGTGGGGATAGATACCCGATTCTCTATGATATGGGGATGGATACCTAATTCTGTACGATGTGCTTATTAACATTGCATGTCTGTTTCAAAACATCTCATGTCCCCCATAAATATATATACCAACTATGTGCTCACAAAAATTAAAAAAAAATAAGTAAATTCTTACTTGATTATATTTATACAAGTCTTTTACATATATTCTAATATATTTACATTAATAATCATAATAATTTATGAGGGTAAGAACTCATGTCCCTCTTTTGGACATCAGGAAACTGAGGCCTTGAGGATTTAAGTGGTTTGTTTACTACCTTATGTCTAATAGGTCAAATAGTCAAATGGTGAACGAAATTTGACTCAGAGTCCAGTATTATTGTTAATACACCACACTGTCTCCCTCACCTATTGAAATGATAACAGTAATAATGACAACTGACATTAATTGAAAGCTTACCACATGTCAGATGTTTTTACAGCACTTTATTAATTTATTTAGTCATCTTTATTGAGTTATTTTTTTTCTACCAAAGTTGGCTTTCTTTCTTGACTGCTAAAATCCTTGTATCTAACATATGTCTCTTCCATGCAAATCTTCACAACTCTTTAGGAAACACAGACCAAAAAATGTAGGGAAAAAATCCAAGAAAAAGGAGTGCTGGGGGGACACATGAATTACAAGACTGGACAGATTATGTTCATTTGGGACTATGTTCATGCAGTTGTCTCTGTCAATCAGTTATAGGGCTGTAATTAAGTAACAAAACATCACCTAAACTAACATTTAAAATGTTAGCTGACAGGGTACATTTCTATGAAAAATTTTAGCTGAGCCTCTTATTTTATGAACTTTAGGTTATTATGCCAACATGCAGCATGTAATGTCATGCTTGTTGCCCTAAGGTGTATTTATCATCTTCGAATTGTTTGCTTTCTCAAACTAGACAGGCAGAGAACAAAAACCAGTTGTATGTATTAATATATAGTCAGCTTTAAACTTAAACCAATTCTAAATAGATTTCTAATGGCTCATGAATCAAGTATCTGATTAACAGCTTTAAGAAAGATTCTTTTTTTAATTTAATTTTCTTATTATACTTTTAAGTTCTCAGACACATGTGCAGAATGTGCAGGATTTGTTACATACGTATACATGTGCCATGGTGGTTTGCTGCACCCATCAACCCGTCATCTACATTAGGTATTTCTCCTAATGCTATCCCTCCCTCCACCCCGCTACAGGCCCCGGTGTGGTGTGTGATGTTCCCCTCCCTGTGTTCAGGTAAAAGAAAGATTCTTTCCTGTCCAGAAACAGAGGTCATTTTAGAACTTGGGGTTAGGCAGAGGAAGAAAAACCTAGAAGGTGTCAGATGCTAGCAGAGCATTTTTGCCTACTTCATTTCTTTGCATCCCTCTTTTCTGGTTTAGTTCTTGGGCCTGAAAGTCAATATACTCTGCTTTTCTTCAGTGAATGTCTTCTGATTTAGAATTAGGCCAAAACAGGCTTGGATTGAAAGATGAAAATACTGCTAGTAACTGATTTTACAGTGATTAAAGCATCAATAGAATAGATCTTGTCAGTATTCTTGTGAGAGTACTATCCAAATGATGCATTGTGGTTTAAATAAGGCTTTCTGCTCTGAATAGGCCTGTACTTAAAAGTATTTATTGAGTACCCACAATGTATAAGGCACTCTGTTCTGTATTCTGAGGCACACAAACATAAATCAGATGTGAGACCTGCCCTTGAGGAGACTCTGTTACCTAGTAGCAACAAGACTTTTATGTGAAAGTGTATTTTTTCACATTTCACATCATATTCCACAAAAATATATAGGTATGTATATATTTTTTCCAGATTTCTTCCTTTGCACACAATGGTTTGGCGAGCTTGCTTTTATGTAATAAGAGATCTTAAAATGCAGAAGCAGTTATATGAGCAGGTAACTGTGCGAGTAGAAAAGAGAAGTACATTGCATTAATTTACTGATTGTTCATGCCTCACTGTATGAATAACCATTATATTTATATTACAAATTAAAACATCTTAACTTGTAGAGATAGAAATTACAGAATATATCTTGTTTTGCTGTACCATGTTAGTTTTCTTTTTGTTCAGATAGTTCTGTCTGTTACCATTTTATGGTGTCCAGTCCATCATTGATGGGCACCTAGGTTAATTCAATGTCTTTGCTGTTGTGAATAGTACTGTGATGACTATGCAAGTAAGTGTGTCTTTTTGGTCGAATGATTTTCTTTTGGATATATACCCAGCAATTAGATTGCTAGGTCAAATGTTAGTTTTGTTTTAAGTTTGAGAAATCTTCAAACTGCTTTCCACAGTAGCTGAAATAAATTATGTTCGCATCAACAGCATATAAGCATTCCCTTTTCTCCACAGCCTCGCCAGCTTTTTGACTTGTTAATAGTAGCCATTCTGACTGGTGTGAAATGGTATCTCATTGTGGTTTTGATTAACATTTCTCCGATGATTAGTAATGTGGAGCATTGTTTTATATGTGTATTGGCCGTTTGTATATCTTCCTTTGAGTAGTGTCCGTTCATGTCTTTTGCCCATTTGTAATGGGGTTATTTTGTTTTTGCTTGTTAATTTGTTTAAGTTCCTTATAGATTCTGGATATTAAACCTTGGTCAGATGTGTAGTTTGTGAATATTGTCTCACCTTCTATAGGTGGCCTGTTTACTCTGGCAGTAGTTTCTTTTGCTGTGCAGAAGTTCTTTAATTACGTCACACTTGTTAATTTTTTGCTTTTTGCAGTTGCTTTTGATTACTTAGTCATAAATTCTTTCTCAAGGAAGATGTCCAGTATGGTTTCCTAGGATTTCTTCTAGGATCTTTATAGTTTGAGGTCTTACATCTAAATATTTAATTCACCTTGAGTTAAATTTTGTACTTCATGAAAGGAAGGGGCCCAGATTCAATCTTCTGCATATGGGTAGCCAGTTATCCCAGAAACATTTATTGAATAGGAAGTTCTTTCCAATTGTTTATTTTTCTCAACTTTGTCAAAGATCAGATGACTGTAGGTGTGCAGCTTTATTTCTGGGTTCTCTATTTTTTTTTTATCTTAGTCAGTGAGTCTGTTTTAGTACCAGTACCATGCTGGTTTGATTATTGTAGCCTTATAGTGCAGTTTGAAGTCAGATAATGCGACGCTTCTGGCTTTGTTGTTTTTGCTTAGGATTTCTAGGGCTATTTGGGCAATATTTTAGTTTCGTATGAATTTTAGCATAGTTTTTTTCTAGTTCTGCGAAGAATGTTATTTGTAGTTTGATAGCAATAACATTGAATCTGTAGATTTCTTTAGGCAGTGCGGTCATTTTAACAATACTTTTCTTCCAAATCATTAGCATATAAAGTTTTTCCATTTGTTTGTGTTGTCTTTGATTTCTTTTGGAACTGTTTTGTAGTTTTTGTTATAGAGATCTTTCACATTTTGGTTTGAACACATCAAACCTAAGCATTTTATTCTTTTGTGCCTATTGTAATGGAATTGCATTATTTACTTGGCTCTCAGCTTGGATGTTATTGTTGTATAGAAATGGTACTGATTTGTGTATGCTGATTTTGTATTAGAAATTTGTACTGAAATAGTTTATCATTTCCAAGAGGCTTCTGGAAGAGTGTTTAGGGTTTTCTAGGTGTAGAATCTTATTGTCTGTGATGAGAGATAATTTGACTTCTTTTCCTATTTGGATGCTTTTATACTTTCTCTTGCCTGATTGCTCTGGCCAGGACTTCCAGTACTATGTTGAAAAGGAGTGATGACAGTGGGCATCCTTGTCTTATTGCAGTTTTCAAGAGAAATGCTTCGGGTTTTTGCCCATTCAGTATGATGTTGGCTGTTGGTTTGATATAGATGACTCTTTTTATTTTGAGGTATGGTTCTTTGACGCCTAGTTTCTTGAGGGTTTTTATCATGAAAAGATACTGGATTTTATTGAAAGCTTTTTCTGCATCTATTGAGATGATTATATGGCTTTTGTTTTTCATTCTGTTTTTGTTGTGAATCACATTTATTGATTTATATTTCTTAAATCAACCTTGCATCCCAGGAATGAAGTCCTGCTTGATTGTGGTGCATTAACTTTCTGTCGTGCTTTTGGACTCAGTTTGCTAGTATTTTGTTGAGGATTTTTGTGTCTAGGTTTATCAGGGATATTGTCCTGCAGTTTTCTTTTTTTAGTGTAACTTTGCCAGGTTTTAGTATTAGGGTAATGCTGGTTTTTTAGAATGAGTAAGGGAGATGTCCTTCCTCCTTGTTTTGGGAATACTTTCAGAGGAATGGGTACAAGTTCTTCTTTGGTAGAATTTGGCTGTGAATCCATCTGGTCCAGGGCTTTTTTTTTGGTTGGAAGTTTTTTTTTTTAAATTACTGCTTCAATTTTGGAACTCAGTATTGGCCTGTTTAGGGTTTCAAATCCTTCCTGATTCAATCCTAGGAGGTTGTGTGTTTCCAGGAATATATTTATATCTTCTAGATTTTTTAGTTTCTGTGCATAGAAGTGTTCATAATGGTTCCTGAGAATCTTTTGTATTTCTGTGGGGTCATTTGTAATGTCACCTTTGTCCTTTCTGATTATGCTTATTTGAATCTTATGTCTTTTTGTCTTTGTTAATCTAGATAGTGTATGTCTTTCAGCAGGTTTTATATTGTACCATGCAGGTAAACCTACAAGCCCGTAGATGGCACTTACAGGTAAGAGCTGGCTGCACTCAATACAGCTAGGTATATACTCGATTTTTGTTTACTGAGAGACTCTTTGTAGAGGACCCTGCTGTGCCACGATTTCAGCGGACCAGGCTGGGGCACCCAGCAATGGCCCACACAGACTAGTTCCAGGTCAACAAGCTGGCCCTGGTGGCAAGTCTCATTGTCCAGAAGAGACAGCTGCTGTAGCAGCTCTCTTCCCTACCCAGGCTTGTGACAGGGCAGAGCACAATTCCAGTTCCTACTGCTGAGGCACTTTTCACAGTTTTGGCTGTGGAGACCCCCTACCTAACTCCAGAACAGAATTTCCAATCTCTGGCAAGGGACTAAAATGCCTGCGTGGTTGTGCCACCAGGTTGCCAAAACATGACTGGCTTTTATGCACCCAAATTAAAAATGGCATCCTGCTCTTAGCCTTGGGTATGGGAAAATATCCGCAGCTTTTCCTGGTGTCTTTCCCTCAGAGTGTCTTCAAGCCTCTTCCCATGTTAGCTCCAGGGGTTGGGAGAAAGAAAGCGCTGTCCATTGGCCTGGGTTGCTTGGATCCCCAGTGGAAAGATGAATCATAGGGAGAGGCTCTCTGCCTCTCTCATGTACTTTAATCACTTTTATTTTTTCTCACCTTTATCAGCTGTATGCCATCACAGGGGCTTTGCTGACATTCTTCTCCCAAGGATCTGGGATGTCCCTCACAATTCTGGTGGATTCCCATTTTCCTTCTTGAATTAAAGCTCACAGAGTTTATCTATATGCACTATGTTGTTATTTCCAAGTGCCTGAGGCATGCTCAAATACGCTGTCTTGGGAAAACAAAACAAAACAAAACAAAAAAAACAAAAAATCTTAACTATCTTTATTGCTCTTCCTCTGACACCTAGAACAAGTGTCAAGAAAAGTCTCAGCTCAATAAATAGTTGTTAAATGAGTGCTTGATTGAATAATTCTTAATTCTTAATCTTTCCCAACCAATGGACCAGTAAATCTCATTAGTTATTTTAATAATGTCTCTTAGAGAGTAAATTTCCTCTGCATTTTTACAACTTATAACTTCCACTTGACCCTTGTTCTTTCAGACCTAGATTAAACAATAATTTCTTAACTACAGTCTATTTTCAACCTATCTTGCATACTTCTATTATACTAATTTTCCTCACTGTTTTCCTTGTCCCATTTTATTGCTTATAACATACACATTTTACTAGGGGACTCATGAACCCTGTTAACCATCCCTTTTATAATGTGAACCTTGCAATTAAGCATTCCATTACAGAATATCTTTTATGTCTGCAAAGTTTTACATGCCTATGGTTTCCCTTTTTATGTAGTATTTTTGTCTTCTCTTGTAGTCCCCAGAACACTGCTGGGCCCAGAATGAGTACTTAATAAATACTTGCTGTCCTGACATACAGACGGTTATCCGTTTGTGTTTTTGTGAAAAAGCTAAACTCTTATTCAACAAAATGGTCGAAAGAAACCAGAAAGTAACTATGCAAGTAGTTAGGAAGAATATCGGTGAATGGAAATTTTAATCTTAAAAACTAGTGCTATAAAGGGGTAGTACAAAGGAATTTTGGGGGGAGTAATTAAACTGTTCTGTATGGTAGTTACATGATGCTATGCATTTGTTAAAATTCATAGAAATGCACAACAAAAAGGTGAATTTCACAGTGTATAATTTAAAATAAATTTAAAAAATATTTTTAATATAATGAAGGTTTTAACTTTTTTTTTTTTAATGCAGTATACTAAGCAGCATCTTGTCTCCATGTTCTGGAGTTATGGACTTGCTTTTTCTTTCTTAAAAATAGTTTCAACTGGCCAGGTTCAGTGGCTCACACCTGTAGCCCCAGCACTTTGGGAGGCCGAGGTGGGTGGATCACGAGGTCAGGAGATCAAGACCATCCTGGCTAACATGGTGAAACCCCGTTTCTACTAAAAATACAAAAAATTAGCCGGGCCTGGTGGCACATGCCTGTAGTCCCAGCTACTCGGGAGGCTGAGGCAGGAGAATCGCTTGAACCCGGGAGGCAGAGGTTGCAGTGAGCCAAGATCCGAGATCTCGCCACTGCATTCCAGCCTGGGCGACACAGCGAGACTCCGTCTCAAAAAAAAAAAAAA